>NC_000001.11:233759879-233911394 GCF_000001405.40 Homo sapiens | reverse complement strand
CTTCTCCATCTCATATTTCATATGCCAAGCTCCATTCTAGAATAAACTTTTACAACCAAATTATACATCTCTTACAAGTGGGTCATTTTTGAATTGCTGACCTGACCTTTACTATTTTAGGAGGATCAGACAGAAGTTGCTCACCATGAATTCAATGATACTATAAGTCACTGTTCCATTTAGCACCGGTATCTACGCCAGCAACATATACTCACAGTTCAGGGTGAACTAACAGGGACGCTAGGAAGACAGCCTTTCCATGAGCCCTTCCCCCTCACCTCATACAAACCCTTTACAACTTTTAAACCTGGAGAATCCTGAAACATGCAATTTCCTTGTCACCAGGTGTGTTATTCAGTGCCCTACATTTTTTCAGCTTGAACTAGAAAACCTCCACCCAGATAAGCTGGGATTTGTTCATTAACCTGCATGTTCCTGTCCCAGGTTCACGTTGCCAATAGCGGGCTGGAGTGGGCTAGAGACAGTTGGTCTTTTAAGACTGACCCTCTCTCCATTCTACAAATGACTTAAAACTCATTCCATTCACATTCTGGAAAAAAGCATTTAAATCTCAACATACCAGAACCTGTAGTGAATAATAGTTGACGTTCAACAAAGTGTATAAACCTACTCAAATGATAATTGCACTTCATGTTAAGCAATAAGCATGACCCCCTTCAAAAAAGCTATTCGTAAAATGTTTTGGGGACTTTTTACCCAGAAAAGGATTTAAGAGTTCAATATTTGAAAACATCCTTTAGGGAAACCTTTCGGAAAGGGAAACATCCTGCCCACCCTTAGAATGTCTGTGTTCTAATGCAGGTTTGTGTTGACCTGTATTTCTAGACGAAGGCACACCTGGACAGTGAGCCACCTCTTCCAGCACTTCTCTCTCTATTCTGACATACACTGACTGCTGAAAAAAGGTTTTTTAAATGAATAAATGAAAATAAAGGAGTATTCGCAGATGTTCCTTCATCCTGCAGCAGAGCCTCTATCTGGAAACTCCAAGATATGTTCCTTCAATCATTCCTGTATGGAAATGCCACCAGCTGTCCCACCCTATCAGATGCCTGGGGCTGGCTGTCTACTATACAGATTTTTCCTGGTCTTTGATTCTCCTCATCCCTTCTCTAGCCATCTCCTCCCTAATTGGTGTCCATCCCAGAGAAATGAGAAAGGAAAAGGAAGCAGAAGATATTCTAATCAGTCATTTCTCTTCTACTGGGGCAAAAGGTAGGAAAGAAAAGGAAGTTATTAAAAGAAACTGTTCAGAGTCTCCTGAATTCTAAAGCACTTCCTACAGGGTGTCAATTTATGATGATTGGTTGTGGAATCATGCCAGCTGCAGAAGGAACAGGCTCTTTCAAATCTTCAGAAGACACTTGCACTGCCAGTGGTGATGATTACTCGATCTGGCCATCCTGAAAACCTAAAAAGTGGTCCAGGAAGAAAGGTGAGGAAGGAGAGGGTCAGGAATTTGTAAGGTAGGCCTGCTTGTTTAGCATTACTGGGCAACAGAAGAGAGTTCTATTGCAGCATAAATTTGGGGGTTACCCTAAATGAGTGGGTCTCAACTAAAGGCTGCCCCCCATGGGATACTGAGTTGCTACAACTTAGGGGGCAGGGTGGTAAGCTACTGACATCTAATAGGCAGAGGTCAGAGATACTGCTAAACATCCTACAATGTACATGACAGCTCCCTACAACAAATACTTATACAGCACAAAGGGTTAATAGTGCTGAGATCAAGAAACCCTGGGCCAAACCAAAGCTTATCACCAAGAATTCTGGTCCAGTCTGTGGTTCAGGAAGCACTTGTGATGGAAGAACTAGGAAAGAGTAGAGCAATTCCACATAACAGGAAGTCAGCATAAAGAGGTAAATGATACAAATCACTACAGAGGCATATTCAAAGCTCCCTGTCCCAGAGGTCAGTATTTCGTGCAGCAGCCATCCATTCATTCAACAAATATTTATTGAGTCCCTCCTGTGGCCCAGGTGCTTTCTGGGCCCTGGATCCACTCAACAGATGATAATTTGAAGAATTCCCAGGAATACTGCCAAGTGGTTTGGTTCAAAAACATGGAATGTGGAGCTTGGAGGACTTTTGCCACTGAGAAGAGGAACTGGGCCCTTCTTACTTCCTTGTTTACAGTTTAATTCTCAGTTGAATGTTTCACAAAAGCCATCCCTTTCAGACCCAGGAGCCTTTGGGATTTTTAAAAAAGAATCCTAGGCTGGGTGCGGTGGCTCATGCCTGTAATCCCATTACTTTGGGAGGCCGAGGAGGGCAGATCACAAGATCAGGAGTTCGAGACCAGCCTGACCAACATGGTGAAACCCTGTCTCTACTAAAAATACAAAAATTAGCCGGGCATGGTGGTGGGTGCCTGTAGTCCCAGCTACTCAGGAGGAAGCTGAGGTAGGAGAATCGCTTGAACCTGTGAGGCAGAGGTTGCAGTGAGCTGAGATTGTGCCACTGCACTCTAGCCTGGGCGACAGAGCAAAACTCCTTCTAAAAAAAAATACTATTATTTGGGGAAGCTGGGCAAATTTTAAGCCAGGCACGGTGGCTCACGACTGTAATTCCAGCACTTTGGGAGGCCGAGGTGGGCAGATCATGAGATCAGGAGTTCGAGACCAGCCTGGCCAACATGGTGAAACCCCATCTTTACTAAAAATACAAAAAATTAGCCAGGCATGGTGGTGCTAGTCCCAGCTACTCAGAAGGCTGAAGCAGGAGAATCGCTTGAACCCGGGAGGTGGAAGTTGCAGTGAGCCGAGATTGCACCATTGCACTCCAGCCTGGGTGACAGAATAAGACTCTGTCAAAAAAAAAAAAAAAAAAAAAAAAAGAATCCTTTACAAAATTCTCTTGTCTAGAGCGAAACTTGCGAATCCAAATGACTGAGTTGAGAATACTGAGCAAAGGTAATTTCTGTACTGTTCACAATTACCTCATTTATCTTAACAACCCAAACAAAATCTAAAAATGAAGAGGATACAAATGAATATTGGGTCATTCAAATGGTTTCTTCTGCTACAAGGGCAAATGACTTACATCCAGAAACTTTCACTGGCAACTCCTTCAGTTAGGACACAGATAAATCACTTTGAAAGATGACTGAAAGGTGACATAATAGCTTGGAGCTTCCATAACTCACTCTGGAGATCATGAGAATTTTTTTTTTTTGTCTTTGTTTTGTTTTTTTTGTAACCATCATCTCTCCCCATTTATAGAGTACAATTACCAACCAACAAATAAAGCAACTAGGTGATACCTACAGGTAATAGATAAGCCTCTTTATTATTATCAATTGAGTAGAAATGGCAAACAGCAAAAGTTCTGCCTTAAAACCTCTTCTGGGCCGGGCGTGGTGGCTCACGCCTATAATCCCAGCACTTTGGGAGGCCAAGGTGGGTGGATAACCTGAGGTCAGGAGTTCAAGACCAGCCTGGCCAACATAGTGAAACCTCATCTCTACTAAAAATACAAAAATTAGCAGGATGTGGTGGCGCACGCCTGTAATCCCAGCTACGCAGGAGGCTGAGGCAGGAGAATCACTTGAACTCAGGAGGTGGAGGTTGCAGTGAGCCAAGATCATGCCACTGCACTCTACACTCCAGCCTGGGTGACAGAGTGAGACTCCCTCTCAAAAAACAAAGAAAAAAAAAACAAAAAGACAACCTCTTTTGCTGCATTAATACATTAATAAAACATTACCTTCTCTAAATTTAAACATTACACCTAATTAATTCACCAAAATGTCAGTTGTCACCTAAAGCGTTATAGTAACAAGGAAATACCTTGGAATAAAGAAGAATCCTCACAGGAATAGAGAGAGTGGAATGAGCTGATTTTATTCATATTTCAATGATCACTGTAGCCTTCCCTGCTACTATTTACTCTTCCAGTGAAGCCTCAGAGAGAGGCATTTAAGAATTACCTCCAGTGATGCAAGGGACTCCATTTCCACATGGCCCTTCTCTTGTCTTAATTACAAAACATGTTGTACCAAACAGTCATCACTGCTGTAAGCTCTCTGGCAAGCCCCCAAATCACAAACCTTGGTGATAACTTCCACAAAGCACATACAGCCAGTCACAAATAGATTTATAAAGATAAAACCTTTTTATGACTTCAAGCACCAAAGAGATGACTTTATGAAGGCTGTCATTTATACCACTGTCTTTTGTTATTAAGGAAGCAGAAAATGGAAATAAGAATAGAAAATTGCTATTTTCTAATAGAAATTTAGAAAGCAGAAGTAAAACTTGAGCGTTCTATCCATGCCCATAAGAAATATGGTTTCCAATGGGGTTTAATTTTTGTTATCCCATGCCCAGGGTTTTTCAACCAAAAAGAGAATTTGGCCCCTTGTCTTCCTTTTGTAATAAGCTACAATTTTAGCAGCAGAGGCAAGAGATTGGAAGAGATACAGACAATTTTTTTAAAGGCTTATACCCAATGAAACACAGTCTTTTAAAAGCAAGTTGCATGAAAACAAAACATTCAAATCCTGTTTCTTCCTGCAAATAATTTTAAACTAACCAGCTAACTGCTAGCATACCACTGACCTTTGCCTTGGACTCGCAGGTTTTAGGAATAATCTAAAGATAGACATTTTTTTTTAGTGATGAATATGATTAAATTACAAACGCCCGTTTTCCCCTTAAAGACCAATAAATAATGTTTCAATTTTAAGCAATAAAAGGTCGAAAAAAACTCAAAATCAACAAGCTATTAATCTAGTCTTTATTACAAATGAAAGACGTCAAGGCCCATTTCTCATACGGACTGAGGTGGCAAATGGCAATCTCTTATGTCAAACTACAGTGATGAGACCACCTAATTATGGTTATATTTATAGATATCTGGATTTCATCATAATCAACCTCTCTCTTGCAAAGTGAGAAAAAGAAATGTCCACCAAATTAGTCCTGGTGACATAAGATAATGTCTGTCTAATTGATCACAGCATCCTCAAAGCCATTAGCTAGGACCCACGGAAAGAAAAACATTTCAGCTTCTCCACCTGACACCAAACATTCAACTTGCAGGGACCAACACCACTATCTAGAATGATCCCTATAGAACCTCCTTACTGAAGACCGATAAAATCCAGGGGAGAAGGGCGTGAACGGCATCCAAAATGAAGACCCCAAGAATTGTCCTCTATCATCAGGGCTAGGAGATGCAAGGAAGAGTTAAAATCCTGGCTATGTAAGTCAGCATCTCCATCTGAGCCTGGTGAGACCTGACCGAGGGCCCTGTGAGACTTTCAGATCCGCGGGGAAGCCACACTGTCCGGGATACTTTGAGTTTCTGATCTGTTTCCCACGGTCTGCCACATAGGAGTGTCCTCCGTATTTGGCAGTGGAGAGATAAGGATACAGAGAGATCCTGTGTGTGGGAGAGGAAGGGGTGTAAGAGAACGCATCAGAACGCCTCAGAGGTCCAGGAGAACTCCGTCTCCGGGCCTCTTCCTCGAAGTTGCAAACCTGGGTCTGTATCAGCAGGCAGGGCGGGAGGGGGTGGCTGGACGCCTCACTGCGTGCGCTCCCCGAGGCTGCTGTGACAATGGTAAGAAGATGGACCAGTGAACGGGAAACATGACGTGAGGGGGTCTTACTTTTGCAGCTCGCTGCCCAGGGCTGGTAGCCATAGTAGCCAGTGATGCGCAGGATCCGCTCCTCGATGGACGTGAGCCCCACCGGCCCGCTGGTGAGATCCTCCACGGAGCGCGACCATTTCAGATCCTCCTTAATCGCCTCGTCCACCACCAAGTACTTGAGCTGCCGGAGCTGGGGGCTGATGTCGGACAGTCTCCGGGGGCTGACGTCCGGTGACCTCCTCATGCCACTGCGGTCGCAGGCGCCACGGGCAGGTGGGTGGGCAGGGGGAGCATGGACAGAGAGGAGGGGATTCGTGAGGAGCAGATCCCAGGGCGAGAGCAAGAGCGCGGCCGGGGCCCTCCGGGGGCGAGCGCCGCGGCAGAGCCCGCGCTCCTCCCTTCCCGCCGCCACTCACCCACTTCCCCGGGCAGCTGTCCCCAGTGCCCTATCCTGGGCGTCTCGGGGCAGTGCGGGTTGGGGCGAGTGGCGAGGGAAAGAATGACTGAAACTTCCCGAGCAGCTCCACCGCGCGCGCCGCCCTTCCCCGAGCCTCAGACTGCCCAGTGTCCCAGCTGCAAAGGGCTACCCCGGCGCTCCGGCCTCCCGCCCGCCGGCTCGCTCACCCACGCCCGGGGCGCTACTCACACGGCAATGCTCTTGCCCCTGGGTGCGCCGCTGGGAAACTCTCGAATCCCCATAGGCAAAGACAGAGTGGGACCGGCAGCTCCCAGACTTGAGGCGGAGGGGCCGCGGGCCGGAGCTCCCTGCAGCCGCTAGCCTGGGAAGACTGGAGTGCGCTGCCCACCGAGGGTCTGCGCCGCGCCGGCCGCCCCGGGCCGCTTTGTGCGCGCCCGCGCGGTCTGTACCCGAGCGCCTCCGCGGCGTGCGGCACGATGCAGGCGCGGCGGTTCAGCCCGGTGACTCCAGGCCGGCCCGCGCGCTCGCCGCAACGACCCGGCAGCCGAGGCAGCGCCGCGCCCCACGCCCGTCACCGTCGCCGCCGCCCTAGCACACCGCAGGCGTGAGTCTCGCCGCGACCGGGAGAGCCCTCCCAGCTGTGCGCTCTCGAGGCACCTGGTCGGGCGGGGAGGCGTCGGGTCGGGGCGCACAGGGGCCAGGCGGGGGCGCTGCTGCCCACTTCCCGCCTCCCGGGCGTGCGCTCCGCCCCGGAGCCCGCACCTCGCGCCCGCGCTCCGCCTGGAAGCCTTGGGGCACCGGACGCGCTCCTCCACCCTTCTCTTTTGACTCAAACCCTGCCGCTCCCAGTTCAGTACTTTTCTCTCTCTCTCTCACACTCTCTCTCTCTCTCTCTCTCTCTCTCTCTCTCTCTCTCTCTATGTATATGTCTGTCTCTCTCTTTCTCTAAATTAGCAAAACTACTTGGAAAGAAAGAAACCTGGTTCCATGCTCAGCATGCCAAGTGAATAAATGGCGTTTCATAGGCAACGCTGAGACACAAAATGTATTATCTATTACGCTGTGGGGATCTCTCAGTCAGACCTGGTCCTCAGAGAGCTTACTTTCCCACTGATGATGCAATTACGAAATCAGTTCTCTCTTCATAGATTTCCATTTTAAAAGCTTCTCATCTTTTTCCTTACCACCCCACTGCCCCCGACGGCCGAAAGGCATTCTCTTCAGACTACCTAATCACCTTTCCTAATATTATTTTTCATCGGGGCAAATTTAGAAAAGATAGAAGTATGTGGAGAAGAAAATATCCATTATCCAGCCAAAAATGACGACTTTCAATTATGAACGTATTCTCTTCCAGGCTTTTTTCCAACGCAAAATACAGTTGTCACAAAAATCGGAATGAAATTGTACACACTACTTTATGTACTGCTTTTTTTATATTAAAATCATATTGTATAGCAGCAAACTATGAATAGAGGGGAACTTTCTCAACTTGAAAAAGAACATTTACAAAAGCGTACAGCTAACACCATGCTTAATGGTGAGAAACTAGAAGCTTTCCTGTTAAAATAAGGAACAGGGCAAGTATGTCTCTACTCAGCAATCCTTTTCAGCATCATACTGAAAGTCCCAGCTAATGAAATTAGACAAGAAAAGGAAATTAAAAGTATACGTATTGTGAAGGAAAAGGTAAAAGAAAACTGTCTTTGCAGCTGACATGACTGTTGATGTAGAAAAATTTCAATTGACAAAAAAACTCTCCTGTTACTAATAAGCAATTATGGTAAGATTGAAGGATACAAAATTAATGTACAAAAGTCAACTGCTTTTCTATATACTAGCAACGAACAATGGGAATTTGAAATTAAAACCACAATACTATTTATATTAGCACACCACTCAAATGAAATATTTAGGTACAAATCTAATAAATATGTACAATATCTATATGAGAAAAACTACAAAACTGTGATGAAAGAAATCAAAGAACTAAATAAATAGAGAGATATTTTATGTTCATGGATGGAAAAATTTAATATTGTTAAGATGTCAGTTCTTCCCAACTTCATCTATAGATTCAAAGTAATTCCAATCAGAATCCCAGGAGGTTATTTTGTGAATATCACAAACTGATTCTCAAGTTTATATGAAAAGGCAAAAGACCCATAATAGCCAACACAATATTAAAGGAGAAGAACAAAGTCTGAGGACTGATATTGCCCAACTTCAAGACTTACTATAGTTACAGTAATCAAGACAGTGTGGTATTGGTGAAAGAGCAGACAAATAGATTAATGGAACAGAATAGAGAGGCCAAGATAGACCCACACATAGAGTCAAGTGATCTTTGACAAAGGAGCAAAAGAAATCTAATGGAGAAAAGATCACCTTTTCAACAAATGGTGCTAGAACAACTAGACATCCAATCACAAAAAAAAAAAAGAAAGAAAGAGAGAAAAAAAGAAAAGAAGCTGGATACATAGATACAGACCTTACACCTTTCACAAAAATTAACTCAAAATAGATCATAGACCTAAATATAAAATGCAAAACTATAAAACTCTTAGAAGATAAAAAGGAGAAAACCTAGGTGACCTTGGGTTTGTAAATGACATTTTAGATACAACATCAAAGGCATGATCCATGAAAGTAAAAATTGGTATTGGACTTCGTTAAGATTAATAACTTCTGCTCTACAAAAGACACTGTTAAAACAATGGGAAGAAAAGCTACAGACCAATAGAAAATATGTCAAATCATATACATGATTAAGAACTGTAATAAAAAATAAGAATAATTAGAACTCAACAATAAGAAAATGATCCCAATTAAAAAATTGGCAAAACAGCTGAACAAACATATCAATAGAGATGATATACAGATGGTAAATCAGCACATGAAAAGATGCTCCACATCATACATCATTAGGGAATTCCAAATTAAGACAAAAAAGATGTATTGCTATACACCTACTAGAATGAATAAAATCCCAAACGCTGACAACATCAAATGCTGGCAGGATGTGGAACAGCAAGAAGTCTCTCATTCATTGCTGGTGGGAATGCAAAATGGTACAGCACTTTGGTAGACAGTTTGAGTTCCTTACAAAATTAATCATACTGTTACCATGCAACCCATCAGTCATGCTCCTTGATATTTACCTGGATGAGTTCAAAACTTAAGTCCCCACAAAAATCTGCACACAAATGTTTATAGGAACTTTTTTCATGATTGCCAAGATGTCCTTCAGTAGCTGAATGAATAAACATACTGTGGTACATCCATACAAAAGAATATTCCGTTCAGTGATAAAATGAGCTATCAAGCTGCAAAAAGACATGAAGGAAATTGAAAACATATTGCTAAGTGAAAGAAACCGGTCTGAGAGAGGCAAAACTATGGAGATAGTTTAAAGATCACTGGTTCCCAATGGTTGGGGAGAGGATGGGATGAACAGGCAGAACACAGAGGATTTTTAGGGCAGTGGGTTGATTTTGTATAGTACTGTAATGGTAGATATATATCATTATACATATGTCAAAACTCAGTGGATGCACAACCCTAAGAGTTAACCCCAATGTAAACTATAGACTTTGGGTGATAGTGATGTGTCAATGTTGGCTCATTATTTGTAACGAATGTACCACTGGTGCAGGATGTTGACGTGGGTGGAGAGAAGCTGTGGGTGTGTGACAGGGGGAAGGTATTTAAAAACTTTCTGTACTTTCTCCTCAAATTTGCTGTGAACCTGAAATCGTTCTTTAAAAAAAGTCTATTTTAAAAACTTCATTATGCTGCTTTTCTATGTCACTATGTTCTTCTAAAATATTTTCCAGTTTTATTAAGGTTAAGTGACAAATAGAAATTATATATGCTTACAGTGTAAAACATGATGTTTTGATATATGGATACACTGTAAAATGATTAAATCAAACTAATTATCATATCTGACACACCAAATACTTAACATTTTTTAGGAGAACATGTAAGATTTACTCTGTGAGCAGTTTTCAAGTATACATACATTATTGTTAACTATACTCACCACGCTGTATGTTAGAACCCTAGATCTTATTCACCCTGTCTAACTGAAACCTTGCACACTTTGACCAACATCTTCCCATTCCTCCCCATAGTCACAGCTTCTAGCAATCACCATTCTGCTCTCCGCTTCTATGAGTTCAACTTTTTAAAATGTTCCACTTGTAAGTGAGATCATGTGGTATTTGTCTTTCCATACCTGGCTTACTTTACTTAGCACAATGTCCTTCAGGCTTATCCATGTTATTGCAAATGACGGGATTGTCTTTTCTTTTTGAGGCTGAAGAGTATTTCATTGCATGTGTGTGTATAAATATATGTGTATATATAATATTTTATTTATCTATTCATCCATCAATTGACACTTAGGATGATTTCATAACTTGACTATTGTGAACAGTGCTGCAATAAACATAGGAGTGCAGATATCTCTTTGATATACTGATTTCATTTCCTGTGGATATATTCCCAGAAATTGGTTTGCTGGATCATATGGTAGTTCTATTTTTAGTTTTCTCAGTTACCTGCATACATTTTCCCATAATGGCTGTATTAATTTACATTCCCACCAACAGTTTATAAGAGTTCCCTTCTCTCCATAGCCTCACCAATACTTGTTTTCTTTTGTCTTTTTGAAGAAAGCCATTTTAAAAGGTGTAAGGTGATATTTCGTTGTCATTTTAATTTGCATTTCTCTTATAATTACTGACATTGAGCATTTTTTCATATACCTTTTGGCCATTTGTGTGTCTTCTTTTGAGAAATGTCTATTCCTGTCCTTTGTCCATTTTTTAATTGGGTTATTTGTTTTGTTGCTACTGAGTTTTTGTGTTCCTTATGTATTTTGGTGATTAACCTCTTATCAGATATATGGTTTACAAGCATCTTCCCTCATTCCTTATGTTGTCTCTTCACTCTGTTGATTATTTCCTTTGGTGGGCAGAAACTTTTCAGTGTGATGCAATCCTATTTATCTATTTTTGCTTTTGTTGAGTGTGCTTTGGGGTTCATATCCAAAAAATTGTGAAGTGAAGAGTCAATTTTTTTTAAAAAAAAGCAAAATTGACAAACCTTTAGCTAGACAAACTAGAAAAAAGAGAGAAGACTCAAATAAATCAGAACTGAAAAAGGAAATATTGCGACTGATACCACAGAAATACGAAGTATCTTAAGAAACTACTATGAACAACTATACACCAACAAACTGGATAACCTAGAAAAAAATGGATAAATTCCTAGAAACATACAACTACCCAGACTAACTAATGAAGACATAGAAAATCTGAATAGACCTATAATTAGTAAGAAGATTGAACCAGTAATTAAAATCCTCCCAAGAAAGAAAAGCCCAGGACCTAATGGCTTCACTGATGAATTCTAAAAAACATTTAAGAATGAGTTAATATCAGTCCTTCTCAAACTTTTCCAAAAAATTGAAGAGAAGGGAAGACTTTCCAATTTATTTTAAGAAGCCAGCTTACCATAATACTGAAGCCAGAGAAGAAGGCTACAAAAAAGGAAAACTATAGACCAATATCCCTGATGAACGTAGATGCAAAAGTCCTAAACAAAATACTGGCAAACCAAATTCAACAGCATATTAAAGGGATCATACACCATGATCAAGTGAGATTTATCCCTGGACGCAGGAATTGATTAATATACACAAATCAATGTAATATACCACATCAATAGAGTGAAGGATAAAAAACCACATGATCATCTTATTAAATGTAGAAAAAGCACTTGACAAAATTCAATATCCTTCCATGATAAAAGCTCTCAACAAATTAGGCATAAAAGGAATATATCTCAACATAATAAAATCCATGTATAAAAACCCACAGCTAACATTATACTCAATGATGAAAAGTTAAAAATGTTTCCTCTAAGGTTTGGAACAAGACAAAGATGTCACTCTCATCACTTCTATTCAATATAGTACTAGAAGTCCTAGTGAGATCAACCAGACAAGAAAAGAAATAAAAGAAATCCAGATTGGAAAGAATGAAGTAAAATTGTCTTTTTTTGGCAGATGACATTATCATATATATATATGATATATATCGCCCTAAAATCTCCAACAAAAAAAACTGGTAGAATAAATGAATTCAATAAAGTTACAGGATACAAAATCAAAATACAAAAATCAATTGCTTTCCTATACACTATACACTATCTACAAAGATCTGAAAAAATATTTCAAGAAATAAATCCTATTTATAATAGCTACCAAAAAATTTAAAATTTTAGGAGTAAATTTAACCAAAGAGGTAAAACATTTGTTCACTGATTTTAAAACATTGATGAAAGAAATTTAAGGTGACACAAATAAATGGAAATATATCCCATGTTCATGGATTGGAAGATTAGTATTGTTAAAATGTCTATATCACCCCAAGTTATCCACAGATTCAATGCAATCCCTATCAAAATTCCAATGCCATTTTTTTACATAAATAGAAAAACAATCTTGAAATTTGTGTGGAACCCTGTAAGACCCTGAATAGCCAAAGCAATCTTGAGCAAAAACAATGAAGGTGGAAGCATCACACTACATGATTTCAAAATGCACTGCAAAGCTATAGTAATCAAAACAGCATGTTACTGCCATGAAAACAGACCTATACCCTACTGGAACAAAAGTGAGAGCCCAGAGATAAATTCACACATTTAGTTAAATGATCTTTGGCAAAGGTGCTAAGAACATACAATGGGGAAAGGAAAGTCTCTTTAATAAATGGTATTGGGAAAACTGGATAACCACATGCAGAAGAATGACATTTGACCCTTATTTCAAACCATATACAAAAATCAACTCAAGCTGGATTGAAGACTTAAACATAAGACCTGATACTATCAAACTCATAAAGAAAGCACAGGGGGAAATCTTGACATTGTTCTGGGCAGTAATATTTTGGATAAAATATTATTCTCACTTGCTGTATTGTTATTGTATAGCTGTTATAATAATAAAAACTACAAAGCCATTATTTTAAAAGTAACAAGTAATATCTGGGTGTATAAATTAAAAATAAGATCCTTCATAATTCTACATAAATTTGACTCTTCTTTTTGTGAGATCCTTAGAAACAAGGTGCTCTCTCTCCCTCTTTCTGTGTGTGTGTGAATGCATGTGCACTTTCGTGTGTGCCAGAAAGCTTTTAATCCCTCTTTCTGAGACTGTAGGACAAGACTCCTTTTTTCCTTATACCTGAAGTATTTCATCTTAAGCTAGTCTTGAACTACTACAAAGAACACCTCATCGAATGTTTCTCAGAGCATCCTTAGGGGATCATTGAGCACAACCCGACATGAGATCACTCATGACAGTTGTTTAAATGCTAATTCTGAATCATCACCTCTCAAAGTTGGCATGGGAGTTGTAAATTTCACTGAATTCCCCAGACAAACTTTATGCACACTAATGTTTGAGAACCACTAATGTAAACAATGACCGAAGTTTTGTTAGCTCAAAATCCTCCCCTTGCTTTTAAAATCACGTTGGGTAAACTAAGGGTAAGATTCAGGCATAACCAGAATATAGGCCTCTCCCCATTTAATCACCACATTCTCTCTCTTAGGCTGCTCTAACTCTGGGTAAGGTCTTTAACCTTTCTATCAGTTCCCTCATCAATATAAAAGGGAAGACCTTGTAAGACTGTTGTAAAGATACAATGCATTAATACATGTAAAGTGCTTAGCACATGCCCCGTACTCAACAGATCTGAGTTAATATAATTAGCAGTGCAGCTAAAGGTTGACTTCGGCTTTTTGACAGCCACATGAAACTGTTGACTCATACCCAAGTTTCATGTTGACTAAAATCCCTATTTAATTTTTACATGTGCAGTTGCTAAGCCACATCACTCTCCTCTCCCTTTTAAAAAGTCAATAGCTTGGGTTTTGGAATCAAATACAATGGCTTAAATACTGGCTTCTCCACTCACCAGCTGGACAAACTGGGAAAGGTATTGAACTCCTCCAATCCTCATTTTTCGCATCAATCTCAAATAGTTATTATAAAGATTAAATGAATTGAACAATTAAGAAGTTAGCACAGCGCAGAGCCTGAGTTTAGTGCTCAGTAAATATTGCAATGATTATTATCAGTAAATATTGCAATGATTATTATTGTCACTTCTATAACGTTTCCACTTGTCAAATGTAGCAATTTCCATAACATCTCAGGAAGTTTCTGGATCTGGACTTTGTCAGCCATTGCAATTACTGCTGCTGCTCCCACCAAGTGCTACAGGGGAACCTCTTTTATCTCCTTACCCCTCGGTACCCTCACCTCTCCAGACAGTTCTCTTTATGGCTATAACTCTCAAGTTAAATACTTTGGCTTGGACCATGTGATACCAGGTGTGCATTCACTAGTCGAGGCCAGCAAACCACTCTTCCAATCAGCTGTGATCAGCCAGCATTATACCATAAATGCCACATTGCAGAACAGCCACCATAGGTTCTTCTATTATCCACATGTCAATTAACACCTAATGCTTTGCATTTTGGCACAGTGAATATCAGAAGTGGGCTCTCACTGGTGAAAATTTTGCTTTTTAAATGGTATCTATAAGTGTAAGAAATGAGTTTGCCTTGGGGAATTACAGATGTACATGGTGTGTGGATTGGATACAATATTTCAGAGACCCTCTCCATCAGGTTACCCAGGATTTAACTTCTATTCCTAGGGATAGTACCCAAAATTTGCCATCGTTTTTCCAGCCAACATTTATATAATTTTAGTTGCCTGATGCCAACTCTAAGAGTAGTAGAGCAGGACGCAGTGGCTCACGCCTATAATTCCAGCAGTTTGGGAAGCTGAAGTGGGTGGACCACCTGAGGTCAGGAGTTTGAGACCAGCCTAACAACTATGGAGAAACCCGTCTTTACTAAAAATACAAAAATTAGCTGGGCATGGTGGTGCGTGCTTGTAATCCCAGCTACTTGGGAGGCTGAGGCAGGAGAATCGCTTGAACCTGGGAGGCGGAGGTTGCAGTGAGCCGAGATCATCGTGCCACTGCACTCCAACCTGGGCAAAGAATCCTGCTCTAGAATATTGTTGCTTCTGAGTGAGCTTTTTATGTTTTTTTGTGGTTAGAGGGTCTATAAGAACAGAATGCTGCCCTTTGTGTGAGCTACGAAACAGGCCATATAAACATTTTTCTGAACACTTGCCAGTAAATGCTGTTTGTTTAATAACTGTGCATGTGTGGTACAATTTGGTGTAAGTTGATTTTATTATAACCTGTAGACATTATGGGTGCCTCAAGAATATCAACAAGATCTTGAGACCAGCTCTGCCTGGGATATTCAGAATCCTCAGAATCACAAAGCAGAAATTCTCTATGCTCCTGGTTCTTAAAGTTTATAGTTCTCCAGAATCACCTCAGATGCTACTTCAAAATGCAGGCTCTCATATCCTATCCAATTATAGGGAAGGTTCCCCCCTCCAAGTAGGCCTGATAAGCTAAATTTTAATAGGCAACCTGATGAGGCTGATGTAGATAACTAGTGAATGACACCCCTTAGAGAAAGGAGTGTCTCAAAACCATGTGGAAGCATTTTTACACACTAATTTCAGACTGCTCTTCAGATCCCTCAGTAAGAAACTTCTATATATGGACTGCAATTAAGCATTTTTCAAAGAGCTTCTCTGTGGTTCTTTTAACATATTCGCCATAGTTATGTTAAAGTTCTTATCTGTTAGCTCTAATATGGAGGTCATATGTGAATATGCTTCTATTGTCTATTTTTCTGTTGATTTTTGGTCATATTTTCTTGCTTATTTGCATGTCTAGTAATTTTTTCCTATTCTAGATGTTTTGATTTGAAACACTATAGAGCCTTCAGATGATTGTATTCCCCAGAAGAGAATATTTTCTTCTTCTGTTAATCAGGTAGCATGACAAATAGATCATCTTAACCTAATCAGACAGTAAACTGGCTTGAGGTTTAATTGCAGTTTTAGTAAGGTTCTAGCTCTACTTTTCCCTTTTTCTTTGTGCATTGTCCTCCTAGGGCTTTCACAGCAAGAAATCTATCTCTGCGCTTCAGAGATCCCCAGCCCAGGTCTCCAGCCACCTATCTTTATAGCTTTAAAAATCGCTAAATAGCTTAAGAGAGAGACTGTTGGCATTTTTTAGTCAGTCCCTCTCTCGGTGAGTCTTTGTTGCTTAATCACCACTAAGATATGGCTTCTTCTGTCTTTAGAAGTTTTGACCTACTTCTTCCACCTCTCATCCAACCCCAGAACTTAGTAAATATTCCATGGGGAAAACTTGGGGCCCTTTAAGTTTCCAATTTATTCCCCAGCTCTGTTTAATCACTGAAACCCTCACTAATTTCACTGATCTTAGGAAAAGGCCCTCTTCCAGGGTCTTTTTCAACTTTTGGCTTGCACTCCAAATTGGCAAGTGCTCCCAGGTATAAAACAAACCAACAAAAAACAAACAAATGGCTGTTGGCAACCATCAGCTCACCTTAGAATAGAATTAATTCTCTAGATTATTAATTCACCTAATACATGTTCCTTCCACAGCTTTCTGATGTCTTTAAAAATATATACTGGCTTTTCTAATTGTTGGCACTCCAAAATTTGATACATCCTATCTGCATGTAGATATATTCCTGATACACAATTTTATATATGTTTATCTATTTTTCTTTTTCAAAACATGTGTGTAATTATATCAAAGCTAACACATTTATCAGGATATATTCAGAAATGTAACATGTAAAGATGCTTTTCCCCTTCTGTCTTCCCTATGGTTCCTGGGTTAATTTGAAGGAAAGGGGTCAAGGATAGAAATGATCATGCACTGGCTTCATTTTGCTTAGCTGGCACTGTATTCACTTTTGATTGATTTCAGTTCTGAGACGAGGGTTTCAACAGCAACCAGTCAATATATCTGTATCCTCTGTCTAAAGGAATTATACTCACTGCCTGAATGAAGTTATGCGCTTTTCATTTTCTTCCCATAATAAAACCTCAATGAGTAAATTTCTTCCAATGAGTCCTGGGTTGAAAGCCAAGCTGATCATATGCTACTTTTAAATAAGGAATAAATTCTGCATATATGTTTCTATAGCTTACAGTCAGCCCTCTGTATTTCCGAGTTCTACATTGTTGGAGTCAACCAGCCTCAGACAAAAACTATTTGGAAAAAACACAATACAAAAGAATACAAATTTAAAAATCAACACATAACATACAATATACCCAGATAACAAACCTGCACATGTACCCCCCAAATCTAAAATAAAAGTTGAAATTATAAAAATAAAAATAAAAACAACAAAAAACCCCAGTACATTATAACAACTGTTTACACAGCATTTACATTGCATTAGGTATTATAAGTAATCTATGGATGATTTAACATATTCAGGAGAATGTGTGTAGTTTATATGCAAATTATTTGAGCAGACATGAGCATCTGCAGATTTTGGTGGGGTTGGGGGATAAAAGGGTTGTCCTGGAATCAATTCCCCATGGATAATAACTGTATTTTTTAAATCACCAAATGAAAGTTTAACTCATTAACTTTTAAAAATAACTTTATTAAAAATGTGTTTTTTGACATGAGAATGATTTATTTTTTACAAAAGGTCCAGGTTTCCTGAAATATTTAGGATATTTACATATACGTCTGTTTTTAAATTAATTAAATAAAAATGTATTGAGTACATGCTGTGTGCTAGGTTCTAAGATGGAGGCTAGTAAGACAAATAAGACAGTCATTTTCTGCCCTTAACAAACCCACAACGTAATAAATAAACAGACAAACAATTGCAATGTAGTGCAACATGGGCCATGGTGGATGCATGCAAATGACACTAGGGAAGCATGCAGGAGGGATTTACAAGTCAGTACTAGAGAAAGAATGAAGAAGATGGGGCACCAGAGAGATGTCAGATAAGGCTTCCCAGATTAGATGACTGACATGGTTTGGCTCTGTGTCCCCACACAAATCTCATGTCGAATTGTAATCCCCATGTGTCAGGGGAGGGACCTGGTGGAAGGCAACTGGATCATGGGGGTGGACTTCCCCCACGCTGTTCTCATAACAGTGAGTGAGTTCTCATCTGATGGCTTAAAGGTGTGACACCTCCCCCCTCACTCTCTCTCGCTCTCCTGTTGCCCTGTGAAGAAGCTGCTTGCTTCCCCTTCACCTTCTACCATGATTGTAAGTTTCCTGAGGCCTCCCAGTCATGCTTCCTGTGTAGCCTGCAGAACTGTGAGTCAATTAAACCTCGTTTCTTCACAAATCACCCAGTCTCATGTAGTTATTTATAGCAGCATGAAAATGGACTAATACAATGACACAAATTAGTTTTGAAAAATAAATAGAAATTAGCCAGGAAAACAAGAAGAAGGAGTTAAAGAAGGAAAAAGCAATAGGTGCAAAGGCCTGGAGGTGTAAGACAGCAACCTATTTAGAGGGTACAGTATGGATGAGGAGGCTGTAATAGGTGGAGAGTGGAGAAGCCACAAAGAGCTTTGTAAATAAAGCCACCATTATTACTTCTTGGAATACTGAAGTAGAATCCTAACTGGCTCCTTCCCACATCCACTCCCTCTACCTCCTTTGCCAGAGCAATCCTTGCAAAGGCCATTTGATCATGTCACTTTCCCATGTAAAGCTCTTTCAGTGGTATCTCATTTATTTAAGCAAGAGACCTGTATTTGTCCCCTTTCATGCTGTTGATAAAGACATACCCAAGACTGGGTAATTTATAAAGGAAAGATGTTTAATTGACTCACAGTCCCACAGGGCTAGGGAGGCCTCAGTAAATTTACAATCATGGTGATAGGGGAAGCAAACACATCCTTCTTCACACGATGGCAAGAAGAAGTACCAAGCAAAGGGGGAAAAGTCCTTTATAAAACCATCAGATCTCATGAGAACTCACTCACTATCATGAGAATAGCAGCATGGGTGTTACCATCCCTGTGATTCAATTACCTCCCACCGGGTCCCTCCCAGGACATGTGGGGATTATGAGAGCTACAATTCATGAAATTTGGGTGGGGACACAGCCAAACCATATCCTTCTGCCCTGGCCCCTCCCAAATATCATGTTCTCACACTTCAAAACACAATCATGCCTTCCCAACAGTCACCCAAAGTCTTAATTCATTCCAGCGTTAACCCAAAAGTCCAAGTCCAAAGTCCACCTGAGAAAAGACAAGTCACTTCTGCTCACGAGCCTGTAAAATCAAAAGCAAATCAGTTACTTTCTAGATACAATGGGGGGCATTGGGTAAAAACACCTATTCCAAATGGAAGAAATTGGCCAAAACAAAGGGGCTACAGGCTTCATGCAAGTCCAAAATCCAGTGGGGCAGTCAAATCTTAAAGCTCCGAAATGATCTCCTTTGATTCCATGTCTCACATTCAGGTCACACTGATGCAAGAGGTGGGCTCCCATGGCCTTGGGTAGCTCTGCCCCTGTAGCTTTGCAGGGTACAGCCTCCCTCCATGCTGCTTTCATGAGCTGGTGTTGAGTGCCTATGGCTTTTCCTGACACATGGTGCAAGCTGCAAGCTGTTAGTGGATCTATCATTCTGGGGTCTGCAGGATGATGGCCATCTTCTCACAGCTCCACCAGGCAGTGCCACAGTGGAGACTCTGTGCGGGGACTCCAATTGCACATTTCCCTTCTGCACTGCTCTAGCAGAGGTTCTCAATGAAGGCTCTGCCCCTGCAGCAGACTTCTGCCTGGAAATCCAGGTGTTTCTATACATCCTCTGAAATCTAGGTGGTGGTTTCCAAACCTCAATTCTTGACTTCTGCGTACCCACAGGCTTAACAATATGTGGAAGCTGCCAAGGCCTTGGGCTTGCATCCTCTGAAGCAATGGCCTGAGCTGTACATTGGCCCCTTTTAGCTATACATAGGACACAGGGCACCAAGTCCTAAGGCTGCACAGAGCAGCAGAGGGGCCCTGGGACCAGTCCAAAAATCATTTTTCCCCCTAGGCCTCTGGGCCTGTGATGGGAGGGGCTGCTGTGAAGACCTCTGACATGCCCTGGAGACATTTTCCCCATTGTCTTGGTGATTAACATTTGGCTCCTCATTTGTTATGCTAATTTCTGCACTAGGCTTGAATTTATCCTCAGAAAATGAGTTTTTCTTTTCTGCTGTATCGTTGGGCTGCAAATTTTCCAAACTGTTATATTCTGCTTCCTCTTGAATGCTTTGCTGCTTAGAAATTTCTTCCACCAGTTCCCCTAAATCATCTCACTTAAGTTCAAAGTTCCACAAATCTCTAGGGCAGGGGCAAAATGCCACCAATCTCTCTGCTAAAGCATAACAAGAGTCACCTCTGCTGCAGTTCCCAACAAGTTCCTTATCTCCCTCTGAGACACCTCAGCCTGGACTTCATTGTCCATATCATGATCAATATTTTGGTCAAACCATTCAACAAGTCTCTAGAAATTTCCAAACTTTTCCACATTTTCCTGTCTTCTTCTGAGTATCCAAACTGTTCCAACGTCTGCCTGTTACCCAGTTCCAGAGTCACTTCCACATTTTTGGATATCCTTATAGCAGCACCCCCACTCTCTGTGATACCAACTTACTGTATTAGTCTGTTCTCATGCTGCTAATAAAGACATACCCGAGACTGGGTAATTTATAAAGGAAAAAGCTTTAAGTGACTCACAATTACACAGGGCTGGGGAGGCCTCAGGAAACTTGCAATCATGGTAGAAGGGGAAGCAAACATGTCCTTCTTCACATGATGGCAGGAAGGAGAAGTGCTTAGCAAAAGGGGGAAAACCCCTTATAAAACCATCAGATCTCACGAGAACTCACCACTATCATGAGAACAGCAGCATGGGAGTAACTGCCCCCATGATTCAATTACCTCCCTTTGGGTCCCTCCCATGACTTGTGAGGATTATGGGAATTACAATTCAAGATGAGATTTGGGTGGGGACACAGCCAAACCATATCAAGACCCAATCCTTCTCCTGAGCTGCCTCCTGACTTGCACCCTGTAGCTGTTCTTTATCCATACCAGCCTCTTGGAGCCCATGGAATGTGCTTTACTTTCTCTTGCCTTCTGGGTAGTGCACAAGACACCCTCCCTGCCTGGGAAGGCCTTCCACCTCCCACCTCCATACCTTGTCAACTCCTTCACCTGCCTTGAATTTTCTGCTGAGACTGCCTCTCTCCAGGAAGGCTTTCCTGACCCTTCCCAAATTGGACCAAGTTTTCCCTTTATAACCCTATGATACTCTATAATTGCCTTTATAACCCTTCTCAGAGTATTATTACAGATTAAGTTACAGTGTTATTTGGTTAGTGCCTGATTCCCACACTAGGCTAAAAATTATATGAGGCAAAAATTCTTTTGCTTTCATTGTGACTCTGATATCTGATGTAATACCTGTGTAGGTTCTGCTAAAATAATTATTCGTTAAACAAATGAGGAAACGAGTAAAACTGAGGGAGACAGTAATTGGAAAATAAGCTATGTGAGGAATTAATTGCATGCAACTTTACAAAATTTATTTAGACTATCTGCTATTGTCAGTATCCACTTCTAGGTTAACACTAAATTCTCCATAAAAGGTTGGCATTGGGGAGACTTCAAATGTCCTCCCAGCCAATTTCCTCTGGGGCTTTAACCCAGACAGTATGTGTAGCAACCAACTGTCCTGAATTTTCTGAATCAGTTGTGATTTCAAATTCCCTGTTCCATTGTTTTCAAAGAGTATGGTCTTTGTCAGATAATATGTCACAATTTTTGGGTCAGAAAATATAGTTGCTGTGATATATTTCTCTGATATCTTATGTAAGGTATATGGGTTATGATAGGTAGGTAGGTAGATAGATAGATAGATAGATAGATAGATAGAGATATGATATATTTGGCAATGTCCCCACCCAAATCTCATGTTGAATTTCCATGTGTTGTGAGAGGGACCTAGTGGGAGGTAACTGAATTATGGGGGCAGGTCTTTCTCATGCTGTTCTCGTGATAGTGAATAAGTCTCACAAGATCTGATGGTTTTATAAGAGGATTTCCCCTGCACAAGCTCTCTCTCTCTCTTTGGCTTCTGCCATCCATGTAAGACGTGGCTTGCTCCTCCTTGCCTTCCACCATGATTGTGAGGCCTCCCCAGCCATATGGAGCTGTAAGTCCATTAAACGCTTTTTCCTGTGTAAATTACCCAGTCTCGGGTATGTCTTTATCAGCAGCGTGAAAATGAACTGATACAAGATATATGCCCACACGTACTGCATTTTGTTTATTATGTCCCAATAAATGGCAGCCTCTTTTAATTTAGGCATCATGTTTTTCATCTTTTCTAACTCTTCCCATTCTCAATGACTAAGTAAATATTATTGGTGGATTAACCACTATCATGGAAAGAAAAGTAGATTTCTAATGTTGCACAATGTGCATTAGAAAACAAAGTCTTTACTCAGATTCTGCAAATATTTGACCAGATCAGTTAAGATCAATATCCTCAAATATGACTGTGACATAATTGTAGCAAAGACAATGCTACATGTTTCAAAGTATTCCTCTGTGTTGGCTACTGTATTATTCTGTTCTTACACTGCTAATAAAGATATACCAAGACTGAGTAATTTATAAAGAAAAATAGGTTTAATGAACTCACAGTTCCACATGACTGGGGAGGCCTCATAATCATGGTGGAAGGTGAATGAGGAGGAAAGTCATGTCTTACATGGCAGCAGGCAAGAGAGCTTGTGCAGGGGAACTCCCTTTTATAAAACCATCAGATATCATGAGACTTATTCACTATCATGAGAACAGCATGGAAAAAATCCGCCCTCATGATTCAATTACCTCCCACCTGGTCCCTCTCATGACACATGGGGATTATTACAATTCAAGGTGAGATTTGGGTGGGGACACAGAGCCAAACCATATTGGCTACTATCATCTGTGTTTGTTAAGGCATTATAAGAAAGAGATGAGTTCCAGAGAGAATGCCAACTTGTAAGAGGAAAAGAAAAGAAACAGATACTGTCTAGAAATTCAGAGTCATGCAGGACTGATAAAGCCATTTGCTTCTAGACTCCAAAGAGTATGATATGAGACTTTGAAGGCTTTGAAAAATGAAACGTGAATCTTCCCAGTCCTACTAGCCTCAGTGTAGTTGCCTTTAAATTAAAAGGCAATAATTTTCGAAGAGAAAGCAAAGAAGTAAGGCAGACATGAAAACTATGTCTAGCAAAAAAAATTGGGGCATAGTTGATGGCACATAGAACCAACTGGAAGCCAACAGATACATTTTTAAGAGAAATATACAGCCAAAGAAACATAAGTTCCAACTAAAAATGCCTTTGACTATTAGACACCTCATACTATGTTTGGGCTCTGACTTAGGACAGGAAGCAGACTGCAAAAGCTTTATAGATCTCATGGAGAGCATTCTCCTCAATGCTAATTTCTGTTGTAGCCAAGGAGGAAAACGGAAAAAAAAAAAAAAACTTCCCAAAGGACTGAACCAAGAGTGATGGGGAAAAGTGGACAAGAGATTTCTTCTTAAAATCAGTAGCAGGATTTAGTTAAATAATTATGCCTATCCCGACAGTAGGGAGCCATTCCAAAGCCTTCTCTACAGAATTTCATCATGCTCTAGATCAGTGTTTTCTATCTATTCCCTTCCCTTTTCGCCAGGGAGTATTTGATGCTGGCATCTGTCATTATTCCATGATTATGTTTTGAGTGTGTATAAACAACCAGATAATTTTATGTTTTCTTAAAGATTGCTTTAAGAAGTCACATTTGAATCTAGGAAGAGGAAAATTAAAAACTTACATCACTGAGAGATCCTGGACTTTGAACTAGATACAATGATTCAATGAAATGTGGAGTCTTTGTCGTTGTTGTTAAGGGGAGGAATGAGCATATAAGCTCAAATAGTGATAAAATGAATATTTGGTCACTGTGGCAGATAATGCTTTATATTTTTCATCCTATTTCACCCATCTTATATACCCTAACCTGGGCATAAGATTACATGTCTGATCCTCCCTTAAAAGTGAAGCCATGAAATGCATTATTGACACTGGAACTTGTGTGGAAGTTATGTGTGCTACTTGCACACTTGTTCCCTGTGACTTCTTGAGAAATACTTTACATGCTCTCTCTGTTTTGATGCTGAGAATAATGAAGCCACTAGGAGGAAGGAACCTGGGTCCCTGAGTCTTCATCTGGAAGAGAGCTGCCTTGGAGAGCCACCTAATCAGGAACAAACTCTTTGGATATTTCATGATAAAAAAAGCAAAACTTTAATTGTGTTAAAATATAAAACTAAAACTTTTCATGGGTGGTAAGCCACTGACATTTTCAAATTTCTTTGTTGCTGCAGCATAAAAGCATTATCTAGCTCACCTTGAATAATACAATGTACTAGCACAAATTTTTTATGGTTCTCCTCTCACCTTTTACTTGGCTCTATGTTTCTGCTTATCTATATGGTTCATGTTTCTGGCATTTTTGTTGATTCACAGAAAACGAAAAAGAAAGAAAAGTTAATTCAGAAAAAAACAATCCTCTTGTATCTTTCCAACATTTTCCGGCACACTGAATACTATAAAAGCTGAAAGCTCTGTCCTCAAGGAATTACAAGGCAGCAGAAGACAAGACACAAACACAAATAATGAAAATAAAGGTGAAAAAAGTACAGGGTGCTTAAGTTAAACAGAAAGTTCTGTAAGAATTCAGAGGAAGAAGTGATTACTTTCTATATTGCAAATTAAGTGCAATAAATGTATGGCCCAAATTATTTAAAAAAATTCTTACTCTGCCCCTCCCTCCGTTCCTAATAATTTATCACCTACACGTGCACTTTATCTGCTTTGTGAAATATCCACTTCATATTTTAAATTCTAAGCTGATTCCTGCCTGCCAGCATGTATCAAAATTTTCAACTCTTGTCAGTGTGTATGGGCTCTGGGAATTAAAACAATTTCAGTTTTAACCCGAACAGATATCAGTAGACACAGGAAACTAATTTCAAACAGAATGTCTACAAATAAATGTAAATTCTTTAAGCATCATACATCTTAGGGGAGGTGTTTGTGACTTTGCCCTCTACATGGACAAGTAACCAATATAAGATTCCTCACAATTAAATACATTAGGTTTTCGAGAAAAGACTTGAGTAGTCAGCTAATCCTGGGGTCTTTTTCAGTGAGAAATACTTTATGTGGCATCTGGCTTAAATAGCTTAAGCACATGAATCACTTCCATTTTGAACTTTATTTAATGTTTGTTTGTTCCTTTCTAATAATGTTTCATTGATTCATTGAGGCAGGAATGTCATATGAGTGGAGAGAAATAACAAATCTCTGTATGGAGAAAGAGGAATGAGAGAAGGTACAGATATTTGTCCACAGCTCTTCTGTTGGAGAAAGGTGGAGTCAGACTTTGTGCCTCTTGCCCTTAGGCTCACTGTGATTTATCTTGTTTTGTTCTCCAATAGGTGCTGGAGAGTTACAACCACTCCATCATGATCACTCTGAGCCATTTCCCTCTCTTCAGTGATGCCGAAGCTTCTGTTTGGAGGAATTCCCATTTCTAGCTGTTTTGGCCCCGTGCCCTCCAGGACCTCCGAAGACTGCAGGGGAACTCAGTGAGTCAACACGTGCATTCAACATGTCAGTCTTTCCTTTGCTAAACTAATCTTTTAATCCCTTTGAGATGCTGCTGCCAAAAACCGTAATGTCTCCTGGAGTGAGCAGGGATGTATAAGTGCAAACACACACATGTACAATTTAGAATGTTATTTCAGGAAATTCACAGACATTCTGAAGATCACCTATGGACCTCAAATTAGGAATTCACGCATTACAGCAAAACAGAGGAATGGTCCCTTTTCATTCCATTTAAATTACTGAGAATTTGCTAAACACTGACTCTGGTCAAACACAGTATTAGTCATGAGGCAAATGTGAATGAGGCACACTCTTTAATCCTAAGGACACACATCATCTAGGGGGAAACAGACATACACTTTATCTTTTTCTTTTTAAAGTTTAAGTTCTGGGATACATGTGCAGGATGTGCAGGCTCGTTACGTAGGCAAACGTGTGCCATGGTGGTTTGCTGCACCTATCAACCCATCACCGAGTAGTAAGCCCAGCATGCATTAGCTATTTTTCCTGATGCTCTCCCCCCACGCACACCCTCCCCCAACAGGCTCCAGTGTGTGTTGTTCCTCTCCCTGTGTCAATGTGTTCTCATTGTTTAGCTCCCACTTATAAGTGAGAATATGTGGTGTTTGGCTTTCTGTTCTGTGTTAGTTTGCTGAGCATAATGGCTTACAACTCCATCCACGTCACTGAAAAGGACATGATCTCATTCCTTTTTATGGTTGCATAGCATTCCATGGTGTATATGTAACCACATTTTCTTTATCCAGTCTATCATTGATGGGGATTTGGGTTGATTCCATGTCTTTGCTATTGTGAATAGTGCTGCAATGAACATATGCCATGCTTGTTGTTCATACACTTAATCTTAATAGGGAAGTCCCTTATGTGTTATCCTTGGCTAAAAGTTTTTGATATGGCTTGGAGTGTATCCCCTCCAAATCACATGTTGAAATGTGATCCTTAATGTTGGCGGTGGGTGGGAGGTGTTTGGGTCATAGGGGCAGATCCCTCATGAATGACTTGGTGCCCTCCTTGTGGCAGTGAGTAAGTTCTTGCAAGATCTGGTTGTTTAAAAGAGTGTGGAACCTTCTCCCGCCCCCTTGTGCCCTCTCCTGCTACGTGACATGATGGCTCTTTGCCTTCCACTATGATTGGAAACTTTCTGAGGCCCTCACCAGAAGCAGATGCTGGCACTGTGCTTCATGTGCAGCTTGCAGAACTGTAAGCCAAATAAACCTTTATAAATTACCCAGCCTCAGGTATTTCTATAAAGAAACACGAACTGACGAATACAGTGCTACTAGTGAGATAAGATGAAGGATTTGGTTGTAATTTGTGGCATACTTAACAGCCTCTTGCAATAGTAAGTCTATTACATTCAGTCATTCAACATTGCATTCTTGCCACCCTCCAAGTGATGATGTTAATGACATTCATACATGGTAGGATTGTAAATGTTGGTAACAAATAACTATATAATCTTAAGTAGTAATTCCATTAACTTTCAAATACCTCAGTGCACTCTTAAGAAAAATGAGCATTGTACTAGGTGATTTCTAAGATTGATTCCAATTCTCTTTCTATGACTCCATGCAAAGTTATTTAAATTTTGCATCTGTTTTCTACTTGCCAATTCTACTTGTTTTCTACTTGCCTGTTGATAAGTAAAGTCTTGCAAGAATGTCTGCAGTGTTTTTTGTTGGAGATATTTTGTCACTGCCAGAATTGATGAGCACGTGACTCCACAGTTCTTCCCAGCCCATCATTTGCAAGAAATCCAGGCAGGCTGGTCCAGCAGGTATGCATCCTGCAAGCAGGGAGAGGAGGCGCTTGCTCTTGCACACAGGTTTAGGTGGATGAAAGCAATGTCATGCTCACAGAGAGAAGATTCTGAGGGTCAGAGTCAGAGAAGAGGATTCAAATGAAGCTTCAGATGAAGAGGGTTGAGGCAGGTTTCGGAAATCAGAATGCAGAACCACAAGATTAAAGATTCAGGTGTCAGTGGGTTCAAACAGAAAAGCAGGAGGGAGTCTGCGTGAATAACAGGAATCGTGAGCTGTCGCCAAGACAGGCTTTTCCTGTGTTTCCAGCAGCATGTTCTCAGTGGGATGAATCCACATAGAGGTCAGGGAATGTATCAGTGTAAGCACAATTTCTGCTATGGTTTCTGCTACCCCTTCTTTAATGTTTCCTTCCAACTTCTTGCTACCATTATTGATGAATCATCCATGTACTAGGCTCCCAATTATCTATTTTTAATAACAATTTGTTTTAAATGGTAGTTATAACCAACTCTCAGTCATCCAGAGGAGTAGGGAAGAGTATCTCTGTGTGTGTGCATGCACGCATGTTTGTGTATGTGTATATATGTCTATATATATATACACACACATGCATATACATACATACATATATATATGCACACACATATAATGGTATACTCATATTATTTAAAACTTCCATTTAAACCAACAGTTTTAGTTAATATCCCATCAAATCATTCAGTGGGATTGCCATCTAATAACCAAATGGTTTGGATCTTATGGCCTCTTCTCTGTCTTTTTCTCTTCTCTTTTCTCTTGGCCATCTGATAGAGATTAGATGTAGTAAGAATTATCATTTGATATTTCTAAGTCAATGTGTGTTGCATTCCTGTTCTCTGTAAACAGTATTCTATGGCAGCCATTTTGCTAGAACTCTAGGGGAGGGCGAAGAGCCAAGGTAAGTTTGGGAAGTAGAAGAAGAGTCTGCCGTTAGGGAAGTCTTACCCAAACAGAAAGAAGAGGGGAGCTTCCCATATGAATTATGGGAAGCAAGAGAGAGACAGAAGTAGAACAAAGATGACAAAGGTCAAGATTCCCATTTCTTGTCAATTAGTGCAGTCACCATGGAAAAGAGTATGGAAGTTCTTTAAAAAACTAAAAATAGGCCAAGCACGGTGGCTCACGCCTGCAATCCCAGCACTTTGGGAGGCCAAGGCAGGCGGATCATGAGGTCAGGAAATCGAGACCATCCTGGCTAACACGGTGAAACCCCGTCTCTATCAAAAATACAAAAAACTAGCCGGGCGTGGTTGTGGGCACCTGTAGTCCCAGCTACTTGGGAGGCTGAGGCAGGAGAATGGCATGAACCTGGGAGGCAGAGGTTGCAGTGAGCTGAGATCGTGCCACTGTACTCCAGCATAGGCGACAGAGTGAGACTCTGCCTCAAAAAAAGAAAAAAAAAAAAAACTAAAAATAAAAATACCATATGATCCAGCAATCCCTCTGATAGATACATATCCAAAAGAAAGAAAATCAGTATGTCAAAGAGATAGCTGTATTCTCATGTTTATTGCAGCACTATTCACAATAGCCAAGATAAGGAATCAACCCCTTTTCTACCCAGACTTGAGTGTACATCTCCAGAAGTAGGGTCAAGGTGCCATAGAAGCTTCCAAGAAAGTATAGGGGACACCAAGAACATCAGGGTTAGTGGCTTATTTCCCAAGGCACAACAGAGGAAGGCTGTTGATTTCTAATATAGCAAATGACCTGCTTGAGGTACTTTCAGCAGCCAATGGGAATGTAGGTAGAAGTTATGTGTGCTACTTCTAGACTTAGGAGCTACTTGCTTAATGACGCAAGCAACAGAGGGAGATAGAGAGAGAGAGAGAGAGAGAGAAAGAAGGCAAAGGAGGACTAGCCCCTGGCCTCCCAATGCTGGCAGCATGCCCCAGTGCTAAGAAAACCATGGGATTGGAATAGTTCTAAGTTCTGCAAGAGAAAGCCCCTGAGGATACGACACTCAATGACTAGAGGGAATGGCAAAGTCAGTGGTTAGTAGCAATGAACGCTATCACACTCCAAAAGGCTGGATGGGGCCATTTGCACCTCAGAGGATGCTGGTTCTAGCCAAGCCCAGCTCACCATTCTGCAAAAGATACTAAAAGAGATTCAAAGGACCCTATCAACTCCTTCATACACCAAGGTACTTCCTAAGAGAAGAAGGGGGAGGCTGTAGAACTCTGAAAGCAATTGTTCTTAACATGAAAGGAGACTGATGAAACGGGAAAAGACAGATACATTGTTAATGGCCAGGTTTGAGTTTCTCTACTATCCAGTGAGTTGGAAAGGAGGGGAGATCATTACAAAAGCCAATTTTATTTGTACAACTGAAGTCACAGTGAAAAATTTGTGTGTCATGATCTACTAATTGTCAGGAAAAAGATCCAGAGGTAGGCAGCAGAAAGAAAGAATAACTAAGCTAATGCAGTGGCAGAATAATTAGCTTCTGAATAATTAAGATCTTTTGATAATCAGAACTTCCCATTATTCTCACAGAGAGAGAGAGAGACTCATTTCTGAAGGACTGAGTTTAATTGCACCCTAAATGCAGAGATGGAGGTGGGTTTTGCAGATATTGAGTTCTTTTTTTAAATTTTAATCTCATTTTACTCTTTTATTCGTCTCACTTTAATTTCTTTTCAATATTAATCTCATTAAATATCTTCACAAAAATTAATTGATTTTTATGTATTGTGTCCTTGTGCCCATAATCTGGATGGAAAGGCTGAGGACCAGAAATCAACCAATGTGAATTAGCACCAGTTGGAATATTGTGTTTCACTCCAGCTCATGTAGTCCCCTCAGCTCTGCAAAACCAGAGCTTGACGGTCATTCCCAGAGTAACTTTCCTCTAACAATGACATGGCATTTCGGTGACTCTTTAACTGCAGAGCCAATGCTCAAGTAGATCTTATTTTCAGAATTAATAAAAGGGCAAGGACGTTTGGTGACATTGCTTGGAATTGCACAGAATTGGCAATGGTAAATTCATCCTGCCAAAGCGCAGCTGGAAAGAAAGCTCTACCTTCATATTCTTAGAGTGCAAAGAAGGAAGGGTAAAAGAGTGGGTCAAATTCCCGAAAGAAAGATAACTGTGAGGAGGACTTACAATTGAGAACTGTCCCAGATAATTTTCTTAAAATCACTTCACAAGCAAAAGTATCACCCAAGCAGGGAAGCATCTATTCAAAGCCACAGACATCCTGCAATACTTGACTCTGACTTCTGAAAAGGGAAGACATAAAAGAGAATTTCAAAGACGGCAATTTATCACTCATGTCTGGATCCCACCAGCTAGCTCTAGCAGCTCTATCCCCCTGACAGTCCTGAGGACCCAGCTTAAGTGAAACGCAAGCAGCCTGGAACACCTAATAATAGCAAAAAGGGTTCTTGTTGTTCTAGACATGATAAAGCCAAAAAAAAAGAAGCATAACTTGAGAATGATCAACAAAACCGTTAATTTGAGGTTAAAAATACATGCATAGAAATGCAACAAAAACAAAAATAGGCAAATGGGATTAAATTAAGCGAGAAATCTTCTGCACAGCAAAAGAAATAACAGAGTAAACAGACAACCTACAGAATGGGAGAAAATATTTGCAAATTATGCCTCTAACAAAGGACTAATATCCACAATCTACAAGGAACTCAAACAACTCAACAAGGAAAAAACAAACAGCCCCATTAAAAACTGGGCAAAGGACACGAACAGACATTTCTCAAAAGAAGAAATACAACCGGCCAACAAATACGTGAAAAAATGCTCAACATCACTAGTCACCAGAGAAATACAAATTAAAACCACAATTGGATATCATCTTACATTAGTCAGAATGGCTATTAATAAAAGTCAGAAAACAACAGATGTTTGTGTGGATGCAGAAAAAGGAGAATGCTTAAACATTGTTGGTGGCAATGTAAGTTAGTTCAACCTTTATGGAAAACATTATGATGATTTATCAAATAACTAAAAATAGAACTACCATTCAACCCAGCAATCCCACCACTGGGCATTTACCCAAAGAAAAATAAATCATTATATTAAAAAGACACCTGCACCCATATGTTCATTGCAGCACTATTCACAATAGTAAAATCATGGAATCAAACTAAATATTCATTAGTGGTTGACTGGATAAAGAAAATGTGGTATATATACACCATGGAGTACTACATAGTCATAAAAAAAGAGTGAAATCCTGTCATTTGCCCCAACATAAATAGAGCTGGAAGACATTACCCTAAGTAAACTAATTCAGAAACAGGCAGTTAAATACAGTATCTTCTCACTTATAAGTGGGAGCTAAACAATTGGTACACATGGACATAAAGATGGAAATAATGGGAATTCCAAAGGGGGAGAGGATGGGAGAGGGGTGAATGTTGAAAAATTACCTGTTGGGTACAATGTTCACTATTTGGGTAATGAATACACTAGATGCCCAATCTCCATCAGCAAGCAATATACCCATATAACGAACATGCACATGTATCACTGAATCTAAAATAAAATAAAATAAAAATACATGCATAGACCCTTCAATGTATATCTGTACTTATTCAACAAATAAAATATTATAAGCTATAGCCCTGTGTGATGTGTTACCTGGAGCTGGTGAAACCCTTAGCCAAGAGCATCCAGGGAAGTGATCCTGCCCCAGCCTTTCTCTTCTTTGCCACCTGGCTCCAGAATTCCTTCCTGAACCTCAGTCCTGTCCATGTTGCCTGTTAATCCTCACTAGCCCACCTCCATCTGAGCACTCATGTGTCATCATTGCCAATATGCTAGTTAATTATGGAGATTCCTACGGGCTTTTGTGTGGTTGCTGGAAACTTGGACTTACAAGTATTGAGCTGACAGTGGTTTAATTGCATTTCTAGATCCTCATCTATTTCTGTGCCTATAATTTGATGCAGTTCCCTAAAACAGGCTTTTCCTCTTTCTCCATGGAAAGCAGTATAGAAGTCCCATGGCTGCTAGTAGAAAAGGCTTGTAACCTGGGTGGGACCTGAAAAAATTTTCATCTTCGCTTAGAAGTCACTCCCATTCTTACTGCAAGATTAAGTGTCCCATCCTAAGGCACTGGGACCGTGTTCCACATATTGCCTTTCTGAGGTTTTGCTGCTCCTTGCCCACTGGGATGAATGTTGCACAAACATCCTACTTCCATTGTTTTGACTTGTGGCTCTAGAGTCTTAGGTCTGACTTCACTACAAAATAGCCATGACAATGAAACATACGTACATAAGGACAAATACACACACATATTTATGTCAGAGGTTATATGTATATATATGACATGTAACACACATTATATATATATATACCCACACACTTGGGTATATATGATATATATATAATACATATATCATATATATGTGTGTATATATAATATATATATCATATATGTGTGTGTGTGTATATATATAATATATATATACATATCATATATACCCAAGTAAGTGCTATTCTTTTCAGTGTCAGCCTGGAAGACATTCCCTCCATTCAATCATACTGCTATTGCTTGAAAAAATTTCAGAACTCGGCTGTTAAAATGTCTTTTAGAATCTATGGCACAAACTTTTCATCATCTTCTGTGGTGACAATCTTTATTCATGGAAAACAGACAAAAGTCATTTGGGGCAAACTCTGGCTAAAATATGGTTGATTAAGGTGAAGTAAAATCAATTGAGGTTTTCTTTTTTCCTTCTTTAGTTGACAAATATCCACTTTTGTGGAGAATTTTCAGAAGATAGAAGAAATCAGTGAATGATGGCACAGGCTTTTCTCTTCCCACAGAATCTTCAGTTTTTACATAACTTTGCTGGACCATTTGATGATGAAGGGTAAACTCTACAGGAACAATGCATTATGTCAAATAAACAAATCAATGTTGATTAAGTTAATGATATTGCCACATAGGCTTTCTGAGATCCCCAAGGTATGCCATGTTTCCATTACTAATTTAGTTTTAATATAAGAAATTGGCTCACACTATTATGGATGTTAGCAAATCCAAAATCTGCAGAGTCAATGTACCAGTTTGAGTTTGAAGGCCAGTAGGCTGGAGAATTTTCCCTTACTTGGAGGAGGTCAATTGTTCTACTCAGGCCTTCCACTGATTAGATGAGCCCCACCCACAGTATGAAGGGCAATCTGTTTACACAAAGTTTATCAATCTAAATGTTAATCTCATCCAAAAACACCCTCCAAGTTGACACACAAAATTATCCATCATAAGTACACCCCTTATCAACTTGGTGCCCATATACATTCTCCATAAACTAAGTCTAATCTCCAAACAAAAAAAGACAATAACAAGTTTATACTTCCAACTAACATTCTACAACTACCTTGTGAATAATGCACCAGTCCTTTCCCCTGAAGAGGATGCAAAGTCCTTAGATAATGTTTGCTCTTCTCTTTGATATTCCATCACTTTAGTACTATAAGGTAAAGTTAACAATACTTAAATACTATGATATAAAGTAAATACCTCTTATATTACATGAAAAATGAATAAAAGAGGGAGGAAAACAAAGTTATTTGCTATATACACACATATATATTCACAAAAAATAAGGAAGAAATGCTCATGACAATTACAGTCTTTGTTTCTATAACTAGTCACATGGTCATAGCTGGTATTCATAACTATCTTCTTCCACTACTCATTACATATTACCTTTGCCTTCCGCAAGCACCTCAGCTGGTCATGGTTCTTTACATGGTGGGGCCAGTAGTCCTGCCCAAATTGGGTTGCTGTAGTTTCCCGTTTACTTTAACCACACAGTGTGATAATAATAGAAAACTCCCTAAAGGGTCTCCTATATTTCAGACATACCCTTTCTTACCTCCATTACAAAATAGCAGTCCAATTTTCCCTTGTAGTCAGGATCAATCACCTGAACCACCACAGTAACTTCCTTCCTTGCCTGTTAATTCAGATATGATGAGCTCAAAGTGACCCTGTGGCAGTCTTAACTTCCAGTTCAACAGAATCATTGTTAAATCTTCTAGTGAAAGCATTTCTCCCTTTGAAACTAATAGGTCAAGGCCAGCAGAGTATATCATTATGGATATAGAAGGCAAAATTTTTTTTAATGGTCACTAGGACCAATAGTGAGTGGTTCCACTCCCATTTCTACCCCTTGATTCCTGGACTCATGAATTCAGGCTATGAGAGAAGCAGCAGCATATGCAGACGCTGATTCAGAGCATATGCTGCTGGAGATCCTTGTCCCAGCAGTGCAGGTGTTGCTACCTAGCTGACACTATGCTGAGTCTTCAAAATGCCACTCCACCACTTCAAGACTGCTGTTTCAGGATGGGGGAAAACATTATAAGATCAGTGAATTCTATGATCATGGACCCATTGCCACAGTTCATTTGCTGAGAAGTGAGTTTCTTGATCAGAAACAATGCTGTATGGAATCTATGATGGTGGATAAGCCATTTCATAAGTCCACAGATGGTAGTTTTGGCAGAAGTGGTGTGCAGAGAAGACAAATCTATATCCAGAGTAACTGTCTGTTTCAATAAGAGCAAAACACAGTCCCTTCCATGATGGAAGTGGTCCAATATAATTGACCTGCCACCAGGTGGCTGGCAGATTACCTCAGAAATAATGCCATATTGGGAATTCAGTGTTGGTCCCTGCTGCTAGCAGATTGGACAGTAGCTGTATGTTGCTGAGTTCATGCATAACCCCCACCCCTGCCACCATGGTTACTTTGCTTATGAGCCCACTGAGGAATGACGAAAGTGGCTGGGAAAAGCGACTGCAAAGCCAATCTTTGTTATAATTCAGCCACTCAAAGTATGAGATTCTGGGTTTCATTTTTAGTAATCTCAGCCCTACAGCTATAGGAGATAGGGGTTTCTTTCAGGCAGACATAGAAGCTTTCTGTTCATTTATATGGCACTTAACCTGGGAACTGGTATTCCTGAGCTCATCTTCTCCCCCGACTTTAGCCAGTAACATTAAAAGCAACCATCCAATTTCATTGTAATCATTTGTCTGACAAAGATTTTCAAAAATATCATTCACATGGTCTCCCAGATCCTTGCTTCTTATAAGCGATTCATTAGGAATATCCAACTGTGATATTTTGTATATATCTATCGCCAGATCACACCATAGGCTATGAGTGCTCTTCTTTACTACTGAATATAGAGTAATTAGTGTATTTAAATGTGATCAGATTAGAGCTCCAATACCAGAAACTTCAAAAGCAATTCAGAAAATTCATCTTTAAGATACAGTTTTTCTGCAACCACTCTCAGTACTAAAATCTGTATGTAAGACTTTTTCAGAAAAACAGAACTAATAGAAGATACATATTAAGAGATTTATTATATGAAGTTGGTTCCTGTGATTATGGAGGCTGGCAAATCCAAAATCTGCAGATTCAATGTCAACATTTGAGTCCACTGGCTGGCAGGCTGGAGAATTCTCGCTTGTTTGGGGGAGGTCAATCTTTTGTTCTACTCAGAAGCTCACCTTATTGGATGACGCCCATCCACATTATGGAGTGCAATCTGCTATACTCAGTCTACCAATTTAAATGTTAATCCCACCCCAAAACACTCTCACAGAAACACCCAGAATAATGTTGGATTAAATATCTGGGTCCCCTATGGCCCAGCCAAGTTGACAAATAAAATTAACTATCACAATATTCTGTCTTCACATTTTCTCATTATCACCCAAAAGAATGCCACAGTCTTGATAAATATTGTCCCCAGAGCATCATAGAATGTTCAAGATTTGCAAAGCTAATGCAACTCTTTGTGTTACAGCCAGACATGGAGAAGAATCAAGTCACTCAACTGTTCAGGAGGAGAACCTAGTTTTAGAACCAAACTTTTGAATTCTTATGGCCATATTCTTTTCATAATCCTATTCTACTATCCTTTCTATGGCATCAATGCTTTCCTGTGTAATGGATCTGAATCTTTCTTTACTTTATTGCTTTAGCCGTCATTGTTAAGGTTTGAAGGATATTTGAACCAATCAAAATTTTGACATTTGTTCCAGTTTAACAATAAGGATTCATGGTTACTTGCAGCAGTGTGTCATTATAGCATCTTTCCAAATGTCTTCAAACCTCTGTGTGCCAGTCAAAAACATTCATTTGACATTTTATACCATTTACTTCTTTTAATATCCCAGCTGTCTACTTGGCAAGTTGGCTTAACTTTATACAAATTTGATGTGAATTCCTTCTTCTGATCAACGGTTACTCATTTGTATCCTGCCACACAGCAACATACACTCATGTTTGCCCTAAGAAAAAGTAAAAAAAAGTACTTTTGATTTGGGGCAAGCTGAAATTTTCCATTTCAACTTGGAGAAGGAGTATCAAACTAAAAGTGAGAAGACATTAACCTTGAAATTTTACTGCAACTAAATTGCCTGGAGACCTTGATCTAGTCCTTTTTTTTCTTGGAATATCAGTGAAAGGAGTGGAACTTCTTCCCTTCCTTCCCTTCCTTCCCTTCTTTTCCTCCCTTCCCTCCCTTCCTTTTCTTTTCTTTTCTTTTCTTTTCTTTCTTTCTTTCTTTCTCTCTTTCTCTTTCTTTTCTTTTCTTTCTTTCACAGGGTCTTATTCTGTTGCCCAGTGGATCTTGGCTCACTGCAGTCTAAACCTCCTGGGCTTCATTGATTCTACCACCTCAGCCTCCCAAAGTGTTGGGATTGCAGGAGTTAGCCACCATGCCGGGCAGGACTTGAATCTTAAAATATGTTATCCTTCACATGTGTGAATAATTTAAAAGACGTGTTCACATACATTGTCTCATTCAACTTTCATAAGCTCACTGTGAAATAGATACTATTTTCTAAACTGTAAAGTCAATGTTCCCATCAGCAAAAGTTTAAAATTCATTGTTACCATATGTCTACTATTATCCCTCCCTCTCTGCTTCTCAAAGCTGCAAAGGGAAAATTGTCTGCTTGTAGTTACTGCTGCTGCAAATCAAATGACTAATTAGAGATCCATACATGATGACGTCCTAGAAAGGTTTTGATTAGCCACTCATCCCGGGTGCGGGAAATAAGGAACACTCAACACTTAGGATGAACAAAGGTGGTATCATAAGATAAAACTTGTTAACTCTTCTTAATCATAGAAAAGCTGAACCCTAAGCCTGGGGGTGGCTGTGGTGGTGGATGGCATGTAGATTTAAGAACTTGTGAAAAGGAAAAACCATCATTTCTCTTCTGAAAGGAGTAGGCATAGGGTAGAGTATCTTTCTACCCAATGTGACATTCCAACATAAGCATCTCCAGCCCAGACTTCTCTAATGGGCATCTTTACCTGAGTATCTAGTGGGAATCACAAACTGAACATGTCAAAAAAAAAAAAAAAAACACCTTGCTCTTCCCCTTTCACCATGAGATCTATTCTCATAATTATCACCCCCCCAATCAAAAGCAACTTTATCCTCTCAGTGGCTCAGAAAAAGCCCTTGAAATCATTCCTTTTTCATTTTTTTTTAGATGGAGTCTCGCTCTGTCACCCAGCTTGGAGTGCAATGGTGTGATCTGGGCTCCCTGCAACCTCCACCTCCTGGTTCAAGGTTCAAGCGATTCTCCTGCCTCAGCCTCCCGAGTAGCTGGGATTATAGGTGCGTGCCAACATGCCAAGCTCATTTTTGTATTTTTAGTAGAGATAGGGTTTCACCATGTTGGCCAGGCTGGTCTCGAACTCCTGACCTCAGGTGATCCACCTGCCTCGGCCTCCCAGAGTGTTAGGATTACAGGTGTCAGCCACTGTGCCCGGCCTGAAATCATTCTTGAATCTTCTCTTTCTCTTACCCCCCAGTTCCACCCAACAGCAAGTTCTATCAGCTTCAGCTTCTTACTATTCGATTACCACCAGCACCCCACGTTAGTCCAAGTCACAACAATCTACTAATTATTCTCCCTGATTTTACCCCCCCGGCCCACTTACAGTCTATTCCTAACTCGGCATTCAGTGTAACCTTATCAGAATACAAGTCAGATTATGTTACTTCCCTGCTCAGAATTCTCCAATGGTTTCCACCTCAGATGGCATAAAAGCCAAAGACTTGACAACAGCCCAGAAAGCCCTTTGCTTTTTCTGACCTTGCTCCTATGCTGGCTTATGCTCCTTACACTTAGTTTACTGTCTACAGCCACAATGACCCCCTTGTTTCCCCTTGAAAACTCCCACCTGCTCCCTCACATCCACTGGGTATTAGCTCAAATGCCCCCTCTTCAGTGGCACCGTCTCTGAGCACCAGGTTTAAAGTTGACCCCTCGGTACTCCTTGTCCACCTTCTCTGATCTCTTATCTCCACAGCAATCACCCCCATTTAATATATAATGTAATATTTTTCTTGGTTACTTTGCTTAACAACTGGAGTGTAAGCTCTGCAGCAGCAGGAATTTTGTCTGCTGTGTTCACTAATCTATCCCAAATGTTTCACATCATGCCTGGTACCAGGTAGACATGGTTATATTTGCTGAATTAAATGTAATGAACAACCCAGTCCCAAACCACATCTTATACTTTGGGACCTGGGGACAAATCTCTCAGTCCTTGCCTGAAAGGTACTTTGGTGGCTGCCCAGTGTTCTGTACCCGGACTTGTGGCTTCTTGTCTTCTTTAGCGTGAGTAGAGAGTCTCAGCCATGAATGAATGCTGCTGAGCATCACACGCGTTTAAATGAAAAAGTAATTAAAAGGGATTTCACTGGAAACGATTTATTGACATGGCTTCAGGCTGCCACAGAAATGCTTCTTAGTGATTGCCTATGCTTCCTTCTTATATCCGGCCACTCTCTGGCACAACGTTAAACAAAACTGGTGCCTCTTTTCCAAGGCTGCATGCAGGTGATCTTTTCATCCTTCTTCACCCTCCCCATCCCAGATGAACCTATGTTATCATGGAACATTCCAATTGAAATTTTACCAAATCCTACCAGACCTCGTGTGCCTTAGTCTAGTACTTACAATAAGTAGCAATTTCAGCAGGACAACAAAAATAATGTCCACCTGAGGAACTCATTGACTTGTGGTGCATGAATGTAATACGTGTTTTATTTTATTAATATTTTGTAGGTGATTGAAAAAGTATTTGAGAAAAGAAATCTTCTGCTGTGGTCAGAGGTACAGGGTGGAGTGTGGGCAGGTAAGGGGGACTCCGAGATGGAATGTGCTGTGTCCTTGGTTTGTGAGCCCAGGGGAGCAGATCGAACACTGAGGCCTGTCCAGAGTCACCATGCCTTTTAAGTGAGGCTTGAATGATAAAATGAATGCAATGTGCTTCCTATTCAGCCAACATTATGAAAGACATATGGGGCGTCACACCTCCCCACCAGGTGTAAATGTATTTACTTGATAAACTCATTGCTTCATTGACCTATCTGATATATCTCTAATGCTCATACTATTAATTTTAAGATGGAAATTAGCTAAACATCCTTCTGCTGAAGCCTGAGAAAGGAACAAAATGAAATGATTTCTGCTTGATCCTGTTCCTGGGATGAGGACTAGGCAATTCTTTCTGTGTTTTTTTTTTTTTTTTTCTTAACATGAAGACCTCCTCCATGAGAGTGGGGACAGCCACACAGCTTAACGCTCATGGGTCTTTGCTAGGAAAATGCTTGCGTTGTATCATGCTAACCTCAAATCTCTCTCCCTGCCTCCCTCTGTCTCTCTGTCTCTCACATGTGTGTATATTTACCATGTAAAGCAGGGGTTGAGACACAAGCAGAGAGACTGAGTTAATAATTCAATTAAAGAAGATGTAAACAGATATAAATAATATTCTCAGAGAGACTCAAAAGGGCATTACATCAATAAACAAAAATAGACTGTTATTTTTAAAAGATCTTAGAAAGAAAAGTATATATAAGTGTTGACTTTTTAAAAATTTACCTTAGTAAATGGTGTGAACAACTAAATAGAAACAAAGAGTGGAGTAATAAAATGGAAAATGGAGCTCAAGAGTCTCTTTGAATATCTGGTAGAAAATTTCTTCAGTGCAAATTATAATAGAAAGTTTGGAGACCTGGAGGACAGATATAGAAAGTAGAAGTTGAGAAAACAGAGAGAACCGAAGGGAGAAAGGGAAGGAAATAATTTTTAAAAGAGAAACAGAATCATTTTTCTCACAAAGACCTAAACCAGCACACAAACCATCTGTAATGTGCCCCCCCTCCTCTTTTTTTTCATGGAAATCTCCTTCCTCAGCCTTCCAAGTAGCTGGGATTACAGGTGCCCACCACCACGCCCTGCTAATTTTGCATTTTTAGTAGAGATGGCGTTTCTCCATATTGGCCAGGCTGGTCTCAAACTCCCGACCTCAGGTGATCTGCCTGCCTCAGCTTCCCAAAGTGCTGGGATTACAGGCATGAGCCACCGTTCCCGGCCTGTAATATCCTCCATTTTAAGGATTTCTAATTTCTCTGTTTCCTTTATAGAGAGCTCCTCAAATGACTTGTGTATGTTGACTGGCCCAAGTTTAAGGCCTCTCTTTAACGCATTCAATCTGTCTTTCATCCCAATGTCCTTGGAAACCCCTTCAACACCAACGTTGCCAAACTCTATGGTCAATACTCCATCACACCAGTGTTGCCAAACCCCATGATCAATATGCCATCATCGCCTTTCCAGAACACCAGCAGCAATGGCAGATTTAGCTACTCCCTCCTCCTCGGAACAAGTTGTTCACTTTGCTTTTGGGGTCTCATGTTCTCCTGGTTTCCCCCAAGATAAGATTTAAACTCCTCACTATGTCTTGCATGCCTTTAATAATCTGACCTCCAGTTACCTGTCCAACATCTCCTACTGCTTTCACTTCATCACCTTTGTTCCCATCATACTATTAATAGTTCTCTTTTTATTCCTTGAATACACAAAATTGATTCTAGCCTTAAGGCTTTGCTAGTTACTCTACTAAGGCCACATTTTTTAGACAACTGATATGACTCATTCTCATGTCCTTCAGCTTAAATGTCACCTCTTAGGAGAGGTCTTCTCTGATGATGCAAATAGCAATGCCCTTCCCCCAGTCACAATCATCTCTATTTTTCTCCTTTGCTTTATTTAAATTCACATAGCTTTTGAATATCTGAAATTCTATCTATCTATCCATATATATAATATATATTCATTTGTGTATTGTCTTGCCAAGAGGATGGGGACTTTGTTGTATCTTTGTTATATTCACTGATGTATCCTTTGTATATTATAAAATGCTCTAGCACATAGTGTTTAAAAACACTTGTTTAATAAATAAATGGAGTGAATCACGAGAATAAAAAGCTTCATAAATTTTAGCTAAAAGAAATAAAGAGATCTAGTCATTATGTGTTAGTGAGTCATAACATTAAAGATAAAGAGATATTTTTAAAACTTCCAGGGAGAAGAAAACAAACTACTTTCTTGGAACATGTTGTTCACTTTATCTACTGAAAAATAATAGAAAATACAATCAACAGGCTTAAGGAACAAAGAGGATGCATTGGCATATGTAAGAAAAGTCCAGTGGTAGGGCAGCATTCAAGCATTGATTGATTCCGTAATTCAATGATGTCATCAAGGACCCATTTTCTTTCCATCTCTGTTCTGCTATACACAGAGTTAGGTTTTCCAACCTAAGACTGGCTTATATACAGACTGCCAGTCTCAGTTGGAGCTACATTCTTTTTTCCATAAAAGGAGAGAGAGAGCAAGCTTTTGTCTCAGTATTCTAACAAGAATTCTGGGATTAACCCTAGTACCTTTATTTAAAACACATGCCCACCCTTGAACCAATGGATCTGCAGATATGCATCGTGCTGATTGGCTTAAGCCAACCTAAGACCCTGAAGATGTGATGATGGATGGGACTGGGAGTAATATCCAGCCTTCTGCAAAATAATGGAGTATGAAGGGGACTGATGGTCACTCACAGGAAAGTCTGGTGATGAGAGGTAGGCTGGGTGGACTAGATACTGGCCGGCAATCAGTGCTGCATATCATACCCACAGAAGGACAGCAATTAGACTGACACCAGGCTTCTATGGGCAATACAGTGTGATGGGAGAAATCATTTCAAAGGTCTGCAGAAAGACACTCTGAACCTAGACTTCTACAACCAGCTAAGTTATTACTCAAGTATGAGGCTGAAATAAAGATGACATCACACATGGAAAGAATGAAGTTTGCTAACCACAGAATCACTCTGAAACGTTACTGAAAATGTAGTCCAGTTAAATGAATGTTTTCAAGAAAGAGGAAGTTGTGGAATATAGGAAGCAGTAGTGAAGAGCCAAAGCTGAGTTAAAATAAGAATCAATCACCAGGTAAAAACAAATTAACCATAATCTGATATTAAAATCAGAGATGATCTCATAGAAGTGGCAGAAGAAGAGAGGGAGAAAAAGGTAAGTTAAATCCTGCTATGATTCTCATTAATAGGCAGGATGTAGATAATAACTCATTTAGTTAGTGAAAGGACATCATATCTAAATATGTGTATATTAAAGTTGAGAACATTAGAAATAAAAAGCATATCTTTTAAACTATTACAGGGAGTGAGAGGAATAAAACAATGAAATTACAATTAAATAAAATACTTTTAAAAGGTAGAAGAGGAACAAAAAGAGATAAAATATTGCAATGTTAGATAGAAAAAATAAAAGAATAAGTTAAGCACATCAGTAATGAAAATAAATGTAAAGAAATTAAAATTACATATTAAAAATAGGGTTAAAATGGTTTTAAAATCCAGGTATACTCTATTTACAAGAGATATGTCAAAGCAAACATACTTTTAAAAATCTATAGGCCAGGCACAGTGGCTCATGCCTGTAATCCCAGCACTTTGGGAGGCCAAGGTGGGCAGATCACCTGAGGTCTGGAGTTCAAGACCAGCCTGGCCAACATGGTGAAACCCCATCTCTACAAAAACACAAAACTGTTAGCTGGGCATGATGGTGGGTGCCTGTAATCCCAGCTACTCTGGAGGCTGAGGTGGGAGAATCGCTTGAACCCAGGAGGTGGAGGTTGCAGTGAGGCGAGATCACACCACTGCACTCCAGCATGGGTGACAAACAGAGACTCTGACTCAAAAAAAAAACAAAAAACAAAACAAAACAAAAAACAAAACAAAAAAAAACCTAGAAAGACAAAGCTATTGAAATATAGGAATGAAAACCCCTATTTCATTAGGGAGTCAACTAAAAACATTGTGAAGAGTATTATAATCTGTTTTTTCTTTAGTGAACCCAGTAATAGCTATGTTATAGATTTCCTTTGAAATATTATTTTTCTTCCTCTAGTTCCCCTTTCTTATCAAAGAGAAATTATAGTAAGACCAATTTTTGTAAAAAATATGTTTTAGGATTATCATATTTAGCCTGATTATTTGCATAAAGTACTACAAGAAGAGTGATTAGCCACATAGGCTCTTTTAAAGTTAGCTTTGCTGGAACTTTACCTGAAAAAATATAAAGCTTTGGTAAAATAAGGTGTCCCCAATATCCTGTTACAAAAGAAAACATTCTTATTGAACTTATGCAAATAACTATGTTGCCATAAATTAAGAATACTCACGAATAGTTTCCAGGTTCTGGAGAAATCAGGGAAAGAGAAAGATAAATCCTTCAAATTTTTGTTCACAAAAATGTACTTTGCAAAAGTATACTTTACCTAATTTGTTGTAAGCTATAAATGGCTCAAAAAGCAAAAAAAGGTTTTCTTGACTCTGGAAAACAAATGGCTTTTAAAAATACAGATCATTTTATCATGCCACTGCACTGCAGCCTGGGTGACAGAACGAGACTCCATCTAAAGAAAAAAATCATTTTAATAGTTGCCCTAGTGCATCACTTCTAAGTATAATGTTCTTTAATGTTTGCTCCTGTTAAGCATTGTTATAAAGAAAAGAAAAATGGCTGTTGATCTTGATGTCAATCAAACATTCTTAGTGCTTAGCCTTTCTGCTTTAGCTACCTCATTGTAATAGAAACCATGTCATAGTGATAGCTTCAGATGTGGAGTAGTGAGGAAACTTTCTTTAAATATGGAGTCCTTGATTCTAGGATATGGAGACAAGACGTATTTCACAGTCTAACAGGGGAATAAAGAAAATGTAACCCATGTCATTTGATGCTTGTGATTGTAGTTTAAACAGATCATGGACATCTTTTCAAAATGTTTGCCCAAGTCCTCATGAACTCCTACATGGTTTCCCCACTAATTGTGACAGACCCCAGGGCAGCTTCTTAGTACGAAATGGTACTGTTCTTCCAGCCACATTGGGGCATTAATTAATGCCCACTGGCCAAGCAAGAATTTCCTCTCCAGAGGCTTGGGTTTCAGAAGTCAGTCTCTCTACAAGTGATTAGACTTGCTTGGAAACTGAAGGCTGAACATCGTCCACCCACTGGTGGGAATTGTTCAATAGGGACAGAGTGGGTGAGGCAGACACAGAGATAAGGGCAGAGATGAGAGATGGAGAGAATGGGACAGCTCTCGAGTCCCTCGACCCCTAGACTCAGTCTCTCTCTCTCTCTCAGAGACGCATTTGCACTTTTATCATTGGCTTCAATAATATATTCCTACATTCTGTAATAAATTCCCCCTTTCTATGTAGATTGGCTCTAATTTGTTTCTTACTTTGAAACAAAATCCCTAACTAATAGAGTGAGTGCATGACTCATTCCCTCTAACTCCATTGTAAAACCTCCACAGCAGAATCACAGCATTCTCATTCAACTAATATTTATGAAGCACTTATTACACACCCAGTTCTGTTGCTGGAAGCCTAGAATACAACAGTGAGCCAGATTTCTAAAATGCTTACATTAGGAAGTGCTGCTATAGATAGAGTGGTCAGGGAAGGCCTCTCTGGGAAGTAGATGTTTGAGCAGAAACCTGAGAGAGGCAGCAGAATAGATATTGATGTTGTAGGTAGAAGCAATAATAAATGCAAAGGCTATGGTAATGGACTTGGCATTTGAGGAACAGAAGCTGGAGTAGTTAAGGTGGGTGAGCAAGGAAAAGGAGGTAGGATGTGAAGCTGAAAAGGAATCCAGGAGCCATATCCTGTAAGGTCTTGAGTCTGGACTTTAGTGTGCCAGGGAGCCTCTGGAGGGCTTGGAGAAGGATGGGGTAATGTCTGATTAAGGTTTCAGAAAGATCATTCTGGCTGATTAGCTGGAGTGGGGATGGGCAGAGGGCAAGCAAGATGGAAGAAGAGAGACCAGATTGGCTGATCTCACAGGATCCAGGCAAGACATAATCAAGCTCTCGCTAAGATGATAGTGGTGAAGGAAGTAAGGAGTGGGCAGATTCAGGATGGGTTCCAAAGATAGAGCTCACAGGATTTGCCATGGATTGGATGTGCTATTTGTGAGAGAGAGAGAAAAAAAGGATTTGAAAATGACTCCAAGAATTTCAAATTTTGGCCCAAGTAACTGGTAGAATGCAATTGCCATTTACTGAGATGAGAAAGGCTTGGAGAGAAGCAGTTTGGTAAGGAAAACAAAGAATTATACTTTCCACATGCTACATTTGAGAACGGATATTAGGTATCTAAGTGGAGATTTCAAGGAAGCTGTTGAATATACCAATTGGAGCTCAGAAGGGAGTAGATTCCGAGAGTCTTTTCAGCAGATCTATGGCACTTATAACTACTGGACTAATAAGGTCACCTGGAAAAGTGAGTGAGTTATTTATTTATTTATATACTTTCAACTTTTATTTTAGATTCAGGGGGTACATGGGCAGGTTTGTTACATGAGTATATTGTGTGATGCTGAGGTTTGGGGTATAAATGATCCTGTCACCCAGATAGTGAGCATAGTACCTAATAGGCAGTTTTTCAGTCCTTGCCCCACTCCCTGTCTCTTCCCTTTAGGAGTCCCCAGTGTCTATTGTTGCCATCTTTATGCCTATGTGTACCCATTGTTAAGCTCCCACTTACACATGAGAACACATGGTATTTGGTTTTCTGTACCTGCACTAATTCATTTAGAATAATGGCCTCCCACTGCATTCATGTTGCTGCAAAGGACATAATTCATTCTTTTTTATGGCTGCATAGTATTCCATGGTGCACATGTACCATATTTTCTCTATCCAATCCAATGATGATGGGCATCTAGGTAGATTCCATGTCTTTGCTATTGTGAATAGTACTGCGATGAACATGTGAGTGCACGTGCCTTTTTGGTAGAATGATTTATTTTCCTCTGGGTACACACCCAGTCATAGGATTGCTGAGTGGAATGGCAGTTCTGTTTTAATTTCTTTGAGAAATCTCCAAAGTGCTTTCCACAGTGGATAAACTAATTTACACTCCCACCAAGAGTGTCTAAGTGTTCCCTTTTTCCACAGCCTCATCAGCATCTGTTATTTTTTGACTTTTTAAGAATAGCCGTTCCTACTGGTGTGAGATGGTATCTCATTGTGGTTTTGATTTGCATTTCTGTGATAATTAATGATGTTGAGCATTTTTTTCATATGTTTCTTGGCCAAAAAGTGAGCTTAGACAGGCAAGATGTATGAGGACTGAGTTCTGGGTATTCTAATACATAGAATATGGCAAGAGGAGAAGCATCCAATATAGGGAACTGAAAAAAAAGGAACTCGTGTGAGGTGGGTGGGAGGATCTTAGAGTGCCCCATCCAATGTGATCAAGAAGGAGACAGAAATCAAGAGTGTCCAATGGAGCTGGGGGCTGATGATACAAGGCTAGAGGGTTAGCCTTGTATTTGTCAGGTTCGTGGTTGGAATGAACACTCAATTGGAGGGAGATAAGAAAAACTTGGATAAAGTACAAAAACAGGCTAGACTAAACATTGCTGAAGGATGTAACCATGGTAAATTATTATGAAAAGCAAATGCATGCTGAATACAAAATTTGGTGGAAAATTTACTTGGGATGGGGGAAAGGTGGTGGGATAGGAAAGTCACAGAAGGGGGTCAACAGACTAGCAATGTTGTATTACAGGCTGTGGTGCATACATGAGTGTTCACTTTCTTTTTATTTTCTCACTTTTTACCTGCACAAACATTATAGACAATCTTTTGTCCTCATTCAACACCTTTAAAAATAACTATAAAATTTTTAAAAAGTGAATTGGAAGCAAACATGGTGCTAGTAACATTACAATCTGAAATGTGATGCAGAGGTCACAGAAATTTGTTTTATTATGAGGCTTCATATATTACATATGTGTTGCATCTATTCTTTTCTAAGTATAAAATGCAACAAAAATGAAATAAGAGACTGGGAGGTAAAAACATGTAAACCTTTAGTGCAGAAAGCTCTTAAAGAACTTTGATCTAAGAAAGGCAGAGTATTTAGGCAGAGGTTGAAGTTTGATGTGGGATCAAGAGAGATTACTGTAAGCATGGGGATGATTATTGGCATGCTTGCCTATATAAGAGAAAGGTCAGGGAGAAAATATGATGCTACAGGCGAGTGGGGGACAACTTGAGGTTAACATGGGGAGCGGATGGGACCTACTGCACACCATTGCAGTCGGTCTTAGAGCTGAGCAGAGGCCATTTACCCCAACCTCAGGAGGGAAGAGCCAGTTAATGGCACCGATGAGAGGGAGATCTGCACACATTCTGAGTGGTTCTCAGCTGTGGCTAAACATTAGGATACAATAGAAGCTTTTAAAAAATGCCTAACACCTGGGCCCCAACTTAAACTAATCAAAGAATAACCCCTAAGAACAAGGCCTTGGCATCAATATTATTTAAAAACTTCCCAGGAAATTGTAATGTGCATCCGGGGTTGAAAAATGGAGTTACAGCTTCTGAAATGTATTCAACAAATAAAATAAGAAGGAAAATTGTGGTAGTGAATGAATTTGTCATCCTTTGGTGTAGCAACGCACTCAATAACCTGGACATAGGGATGTTGCTTAGAAAACTCTCTCAGTCTCCAGTTAAGCTCTATCCTGGGATGCCTTTAAATTCTCTTTTCTCTCTGTGCAGCTTCTATCCTCAAATCTACTGTCCATAAAACTTCATTAGCATTCCCAGAGCACTTTCCTTTGGCAGATTATTTCAGCACGGGGAAGGGAAACACATACTATTATACCCACAGGAGGAAAATAAAGCTCATAGAAAATAGAAGCAAATAGGGTCTCCTTTGCAGACATGATGGTCAAAGTCAACGCATGTTTCTTTTTCAGTTTCTCAGACGATTGAGTCTCACTCTTTTTTCTCCCTGCAGTGTCCCTTAAAGACCTCTGTGACACTTAGAACTGGGAGAATCCTTGGAAATATCTACACTGATGGTTTGCTATCTTTCGTTCTTTAATTTAAGCCCCCAAACACTATATCTTAGCAATATCTAATGCTAAGGGAACCCAAAATGTAGCTTCTCGTGTTGAAGCAGAATCGAGGTCTGGAGTTCAGCTGTTTGTGCTCATCTTCCTCAATCCAGAGAACTCTAGAGAGTGTGCCAAGAAAACCTAGGCCCCCCAAGAGCAGCTAGAAAACAGTTCAAACCCCTAGTTTGCAGATGAAGATGTTGAGGCTAAAAGAGCTTGGAGCGTTTTGCCCAAAGACAAACAACCAGTAAACAACCCAAGCCAGCATTGCTCCCAGGTCCTCAGCCCCTGTGACTTCTATGTCACCAAACTGTTTTCCTCCTTCATGGGGACACTCAGACCTCATTGGCTGGACTAGAATCATTTAAAAACTATAATAAAAGACTACTCTGGTTCTAATTCATAGCTTACTAAATATGCTCCTGGAGCTAGCTTTCTAGAGTTAGCCCATAAAATTATAAGACACCTAGTTAAATTTAAATTTCAGAGGATGCCAACGTGGGTGGATCACGAGGTCAGGAGTTCAAGACCAGCCTGGCCAAGATGGTGAAAGCCCATTTCTACTAAAAGTACAAAAATTAGCCAGGCATGGTGGCGGGCACCTGTAATCCCATAAAATTATAGGACACCTAGTTAAATTTAAATTTCAGAGGATGCCAACGTGGGTGGATCACGAGGTCAGGAGTTCAAGACCAGCCTGGCCAAGATGGTGAAAGCCCATTTCTACTAAAAATACAAAAATTAGCCAGGCATGGTGGCAGGCACCTGTAATCCCAGCTACTTTGGAGGCTGAGGCAGAGAATTGCTTGAACCTGGGAGGCAGAGGTTGCAGTGAGCCGAGATCGCACCAATGCATTCCAGCCTGGGCAACAAAGCGAGACTTCATCAAAAAAAAAAAAAAAAAATTCAGATACACAAGAGAGTTTTTTAGTATAAGAATAACCTTTGCAGTATTTGGGAAATACCTACACTTCAAAAATAATTCATCAACTATCTGAACTTCAAATTTAACTGGGAATCCTATATTTTATCTGCCAACCCTACTCGGAGTGGATCTGGAGAACATTGTTCATTTTACCATATTCTGATTGAGAGGAAGAATCATTTCAACACTCCTTTTGCTTTCTTTGCTATGGGGATTATTAAATGAGAATTAAATAAACACTAGTCAAGAAAAATATACATGACCTGACAAGCAATGCTACATAATGTAGATTCAGGGTTGAGAAATTGAGTCCTAGCTCCTTAAAATACATTGGACAAACAAAATAAGAAAGCAAATTTCAGTAGTGGACGAGTTCGCCATATTCTGGTGTAACAAAGTGGTCAATCATTCTACCAACTCTAAAATCCTGAAGTCTTTGCACTTTCTTAATGAGGAAAAGTAAAATTTTAAGTTTATGATTTTTTTTCTCCCGAGATAGGATTCATTTTACTCTTTTTACTCCATAACTAAAGCCTGATTCCTTCTTATACGATGGCTTGCTATTGGCCTTAGATTAGTCAAACACTGTGGAAGATTTTTATTTTGTCTTGCTCTTCTTGCATTACCCCATGACAATGGCCAAATGAAGAAAGCAAAAAGAGATTTTAGACCATAGCTTGGAGAAGGTGAGTCCCCTTTGTTTGACACTTTTGGAAATTCAAAATGTCTTTAGGATATTGATAACATTATCAATAAATTAGATCCAGTTTAAGGCCAAGCTCAGTGGCTCATGCCTGTAATCCCAGCACTTTGGGAGGCTGAGGCGGGCGGATCACTTGAGATCAGGAGTTCAAAACCAACCTGGCCAACATGGCAAAACCCCATCTCTACTAGAAATACAAAAAATTAGCCAAGCATGGTGGTGCATACCTGTAATCCCAGTTACTCGGGAGGCTGAGCCAGGAGAATTGCTTGAACCCACGAGGCAGAGGTTGCAGTGAGCTAAGATCGTGCCACTGCACTCCAGCCTGAGTGACAGAGCGAGACCCCATCACAAAAAACAAAAACAAAAACAAAAAAACCCAGAAACAAAACAACCACAAAGAATTTAGATCCAATTTAGCTTTGCCAAGAGCTAAAAGAGCTTAAAAAATTCCATTCTGGGTCTGATCAGATTTGTCCCATGCACTGTAACTTTCCCACCTACACATATGCATCAGTCTGTTAGAATTAGTTCCAGCCTGGAATCCTCAGGAAAGTCTCACAAAAAAGGGATAAGAAATACACATCGCTGAGAAGAAAAGAGAGGGTGAGACATTTACCATTTTATTTGTAATCCACAGATAACCTCAAGCATTACTTGTTAGTAGATTTAACTTGCCCTTTCCCCATTTATTGTCAAACCAAAGATATAAAAACATAATGCAATGAACCCATTTTCACTCTTTCCCTCTGCCTGTATTTGTAGGCAATAGGACCCTGACCAACAATGGGGAAGTCATCAGGCAGAGGACAGGGAGAAAAAGTAAGAGGTCTGGATAATTCACATACTCCATATTTATTTCTTTAAAAATTGGAGTTGCCTATGTGCCTTTGGGGAGAGCGAAAGAGAAGGGAAGGTAGAAGGCCATGTACAAAGGAAATCATAAAGAAACAGAAAATCTCTTTGAGCTGCTACCTTCACTTAAAATATTTAACAGAAAGTGTGGATGTGTACAAAGGAATTGGCAAAATGTTACAGTACAAGCCAGCAAGAATATATACTAGTCCTTTATTTCAGCCCGGGGGCTTTGATTACCTGTCAGGCTGGGAACTGAAGCAAGATAATTGTCTCTGAGCTCCCTGCTCAGAAGAAGCCTGATGGAAAACACAACAAAGTGGTAGTTCCTGGCACATGGATTCCTGCTTGGAGGCTGCTGAGGATTAGGCAACTGCTGGGCTGATTTTGCAATGAATCTCACTAGACTTCCTTCCTTAAGAACTGTGAAGAACAGCCATAGCCACAGTAGAACTGGTTTCCAGCAAGCGATGTCTCCTTTAAGGTTGTGGAACCAAGGGCACCAGGTATGACTCTGTGCTTGGAGGGGTGATTTCCACCCTGTAGAACCTGATGCTTTACGACATATTCTAGAGCAACACGACATTCTAGCCATTCAATCCTGAACCACAGTATCTGCAGACACTTATGAAAGGGGTAGTGCTGGTAAATGATGTGTTTGTTTCAGAGACCTACTAGGTCCATTGCAGAGAGAGGAGTTTCATGTGACCATGTTACTTTGCCCTGGTTATTCCTCTATACCTTTCCATTGTCTGGATGATTTCTTCCTTGTTATGTGCCTCCCCCATTAGACTATCAGCTGATCAAAAGTAGGAGCCTTGGTGTCAGGTAAATAATGAATATTCAATGAATGAGTACTCTCAGGGGTCCCCATTTTTAAGATGCCACCTTCCCCAGAGTGATGGAAGTTCCAGACATCAACATGGATTTTGTACCTGGACCCACATTTTGGCAAATACCAGGTATGATAATAAGAAATACATATTTGGTTTGTGTCCCTGGTTCCTGGCACAGAGCTTCTAAAACCCTTAGAATTCTCTGAGTGACAGGAATAAGAAGAGAGTCTTTTGTTACTCATAATAAGCCCTTTCAACCACACCTGAGTTTATGCCAATAACTTTGGAAAAGCCTCTAGAGGGTTTTAGGATGAAGGTTGCTTGCCAAAAGAACCAACCATGTGGTTAGACGGTTGGATGTCCAGACTCCCCACCAACCTCCAGGAAGGGGCTGGAGATTGAGTTCAATTACTAATGACCATTGATTTAACCGATCAAGCCACCATAAAAACCCCTAAACGACAGGGTTTGGAGAGTTTCTGGGTTGAACACATGGAGGTGCTGGGAGGGCAGTGTCGGGAGAGGGAAGGGAAGCTCTGTGCAACCCCCACTCCATACCTAGATCTATGCCTCTCTTCCATTTGGCTGTTCCTGAGTTGTGTTGTGTATAGTAAATCAGTGAGAGAAAGTAAATAATTTTTCTGAGTTTGTGAGCCATTCTAGCAAATTACTGAAACTGAAGGGGAGTCATGGGAACCCCTGATTTGTAGCCAAGTCAGACAGAAGTGTGAGTAACCTGGGGACCCTCTATTTGCAAGTAGCCTCCAAAGTGAGGGCAGTTTTGTGGGACTGAACCCTTAAGCCTGTGGAGTCTGATACCAACTCCAGGTAGTTCTTGTCAGAATTGAATTAAATTGCAGGATACCCAGAGAGGGAATTTGTTGGTGTGGGGAAGGAAACCTACACACAATTGGTGTCACAAATGCTGTGAGTACAGTAGTGCCCCTTATCCATGGCTTTGTTTTCCTTGGTTTCAGTTACTTGCAGTCAGCCACAGTCCAAAAATTTTAAATGGAAAAATTCGAGGAATAAATAATTTCTAGGTTTTAAATTGTGCACCCTCAGACTTGCACGATGAACTCTCATGCCATTCTGCTCCCTCCTATCCAAGACATGAATCATCCATTTATCCCGTGTATCCATACTGTGTATGCTACCCACCCGCTAGTAGACGTGTGAGATATCACATAGAAAAAACACAGTATATGTTCAGGTCAAAATAACATGGTACACAGGGGGTTTGGTTCTATCTGAGGTTTCAGACATCCACATGTGAAAGGAAAATAAAATCTCTGGGACCCCAAGCTCACTATGCCAAAGGGGAAAGTTTTAAGCTTGGGAGCTGAGTCACACAAAACAAACAGACAAACAAACAAAAATACTGCCTTCCTTTTGGTTCTAAACAGCTGCAAGATAGAAGGCCACATAGCTCACCAAGTGGTCTCCCTCACCCTGACAATGTGAATCAACAGCTTATCTTCAAAGGTACAGGACAAAGACAAAACTAGAAATCATCCCTCCACCCACCTTCAAGATAAGTGCATATTTGACTTCTTCCTCTACTCTCTGTTTACTTTATCCTGTGTAAAATACAGATCTACTAAGTATGAGATGAATGCGTAATTGACTGTTTCTCTATCCCACTGCTTTCATATTTAACATGTGGATTCAGTAAGTGCTGATCAAAGCCTTACAAAAATGTAATCACTCCTCTCACCACCTACCCTCCCTTTTGTTTTCTTTCCTTCTTCCTCTGCTGCCTGTTATTTCCCCTTTAAATATTGAAGTTCTCAAAACCATTTTTGGAAGAAGTACCAAACACAGATCTTATTGTAACTTGTGTCTCTTGTTCCTGGGTGCACCCTCAACCTTGGCAAAATAAACCTCTATATCAATTGAGATCTGTCTCAGACACTTTTTGCTTTACACACTGAAAGTCTTAGAATGTATCCCTGGCAGATAAAGGAAAACTACTTATAGTTTAGATCAGGATATACAGTTGCTCCCACTCTGTAGAAATCCTGAGAAAGCAGTATTAAGAGGTGGGAAAAGAAATTTCCAGTCTCCAAAACCTTACAAGGATTCATGTCTGGCACATTGAAGAAACTCATGAAAATAAATGGGAAAAAAATCAGAAAATTCACTAGAATATGGGGAAAGAATATGAATTAGCCATTAACAGAAGTGAAAAGCTGACTAGCTAATGAGAATTTAAAGAAAACCTCATATTTGCTAGAAATTAGAGATATAAAATTTATTTTAAAAAATGCAATAACACTCTAATTGATATTTTTAAGGTTAGATGATATCCATTTCTAGAGACATCAGAAGATACAGGGATCCTCATGCACTTCTGGAGAGAAGGTAAATAGATATGGCCTTTGTGGAGAACAATTTATAATATATGATAATACATAATGAAATCAGACATGTGTACTACTCTAGCAATTCCATCCTGGGTATATACCTCAGAAAAATTAGCACATAGCTCCATAAAGAAAGATATATTAGGAATTTCCAACTATATTGGCAAGGATGGCAGCAAAGAACAGGTGGTAACCTTTATGTCTGTCCTTAGAGTGAATGAGTAAAATGCTAGCTGCATGCAATGGAACATTTTGTAGCAGTCAGAAGAAATGAAGGCAATGTGGATGATTTGCAAAAACAAAGTAGAATGAAGAAAATTGAGAAACAAAGATATATGTTTTCCAATTAAATGAGCACTACTATTAAAATATATTTAAAATAACCATTATAATATGTTAAATGAGTATTAGATATATTAAGAATATACAGTTGTCCTTCAGTATAAGCGGGAAATTGGTTCCAGGCCCCCTGCGTATGCCAAAATCTAAGCATACTCAAGTCCCACAGTTGGCCCTGCGGAACCCTCATAGAAGAAAATTCTGCCCTCCATATACGGGGGTTGTGCATCCCTCCAATACTGTATTTTCGATCCTCATTTGATTGAAAACAATCCGCATATAAGTGGACTTGCTCAGCTCAAACCCATGTTGTTCAAGGGTCAACTGTATTTAGACGAACATTAGGCTATGCACAGGCCAATATTTAAAATAGTGAAAAATAAGTGTGGTGAGTGTCAACCCATCAGAATGGGCTCCTCCTGGGAGGCTGTGCCCCGTGTGCCAATTGGATATTGGCCTGCATACACATGCAAATAAACACCTAGAATGTGCATGGTGAGGCTGTAGATGCAGTGCAATAGAGCAAGTCTGTGCTGGGGAAAGAATGAGAGCTGAAAGTTAATAAAAAAGAAAATGAGGGCCTTGCATGAAGAAAGGGGCATAATCAATCCTGTAAGGCAAGGTCAAGAAAAGGAGAGGGAGGAACCACAATGTAACATCGTAGAACAATGTACACACACACACACACACACACACACACACACACACACACACATCTTTAAAGCCCAATTACCAAACCAAGAAAAGAGCTAGCATCAAAAAATGTGTCGGTTTTCTCCCATGGAAGGTGACTGTTCCTATAACTTTACTTCTCCAATTCTTATTTGTTGTTTAATTCAAAAATGCTTTCATTCATCCATCTATCCACCCACCCATCTATTCATCCATCCAACAACTATTGCCCAGCCAGTATGTGCCAGAAGCTATTCTAGGCACTAGAGATATAGCAGGGAAAAAGAAATAAAGCCCCCTGCTGTTGTTCTGAAGCTGGGGTTCTCACTGAGTGTCATGCAGCAGGTACAGGGTAAATACTGGGGTATCACCTGGTGTATCACCTGGTGTAGGTTTAATAGGGGGTGTGAGTGGGATTCACCATGTAGTTGAGACTTCATGGAAGCCTCCCCCTTGTGCATATGGTGAACTCCAATTCTCCAGCACTCAAATCAATTCAATACATAGGCAAGGTACGTTTGTTCCTACTACTTGTTCAATCTCGTTGTCATCATGGTTTCATTTTTCATGGAGAATCTGTTGCATTGATATTTCCAAGGGATCCAACTGATTTTGGCTTTAGTGGTAGTTTCATTATGCATTATCATATGTTACAGATCGTTCTCTATAAAGGCTTGTGTTAGTTCATTCTCACATTGCTATAAAGAAATACCTGAGGATCCTGAGAGTGGGTAATTTATAAAGGAAAGAGGCTTAGTTGGCTCAAAGTCCCGCAGTCTGCGCAGGAAGCATGACGCTGTCATCTGCTTGGCTTCTGGGGAGGCCAGTCATGGCAGAAGGCGAAGGGGAAGCAAGTACGTTATGGTCAGAGCAGGAGGAAGAGAAACAGAGGGGAGGTGCTATACACTTTTAAACAAACAAATCTCATAATAACTCACTCGCCATCACAAGACCAGCACCAAAGGGATGGTTCTAAACCATTCATGAAGGATCCTCTCCCGTGATCCAATTACCTACCACAAGCCCCACCTCCAACACTGGGAATTACAATTCGATATGAGATTTGGATGAGGACACAGATCCAAACCATATCAAGGCTATATCCATTTACATTCTCTCCAGCAGTGCATAAGGATCCTTGTATCTTCTGATGTCTCTAGAAACTGATATCATCTAACCTTAAAAATATTGAGTAGAGTGGTATTGCATATTTTTAAAACTTTTTGCATCTCTAACTTCTAGTGAATATGAGCTTGTCTTTGAATACTTAGTAGCTATAAACACCTGAGGCTGGGTAATTTATTAAGAAAAGAGGTTGATTTGGCTCATGGTTCTGCAGGCTGTACTAGATGCATGCTGCCAGCATCTGCTACTGGTGAGGCCTCAGTAGCAAAAGGTGAAGGAGAGCCAGTGTGTGCAGATCACATGGCAAGAAAGGAAGCCAGAGAGGGCAGGGAGGTGCCATGGCCTTTTTGACAACCACGTCTTATGGGAACTAATAGAGTAAGAACTCCTCATTATCAGCAGGATGGCACTAAGCCATTCCTGAGTGATCCACCCCCATAACCCACACACCTCCCACTAGGCCCCACCTCAACAATGAGAATCAAATTTCAACATGAGGTTTGGAGGGGCTTAAATCTCCAAATCATTTCACCAACAATTTTTTTTTCTTTTTTTTTTTTTTTTTGAGACAGGGTCTCACTCTGTCACCTAGGCTGGAGTAAGGTGGCATGATTTTGGCTCACTGCAATCTCTGCCTCCCAGGTTCAAGTGATCCTCCCACCTCAGCTTCCAGAATAACTGGGACTACAGGTGTATACCACCACTCCTGGATAAGCTTTTTTTATTTTTTGTAAAGATGGGGTCTTGCCATGTTTCCCAGGCTTGTCTCAATCTTCTGCACTCAAGCAATCTGCCTGTCCCAGCCTCCCAAAGTGCTGGGATTACAGACATGAGGCATGTCCCCCCTGCCACCAACAATCTTCTAATCACCAGTGATGACTTTGGCTCCTTAGACCATGTTTCCTCTCTCTGCAGCATTCAACCCTGTGGAAGACACCCTTTCTCTTTAAATTTCCATGATGATCTCAAATTCATTTTAATAGACTTTTGTTTTATTTTATTTCATTTTATTTTATATTTTATTTTGAGACAGAGTCTCCCTCTGGTCACCCACGCTGGAGTGCAGTGGTGTGATCTTGGCTCACTGCAACCTCCGCCTCCTGGGTTCAAGCAATTCTCATGCCTCAGCCTCCTGAATAGCTGGGATTACAGGCATGAGCAACAAGCCTGGCTAAGTTTTGTATTTTCAGTAGAGATGGGGTTTCGCCATGTGGGCCAAGTTGGTCTCAAACTCCCGGCCTCAAGTGATTCACCCACTTCAGCCTCCCAAAGTGCTGGGATTACAGGCATGAACCACTACGCCCAGCGAACTTTATTTTTTTAGAGCAGTTTTAGGTTCAGAGCAAAACTGAGCAAAAAGTACAGAGATTTTCCATATAGTCCCTGCCCTTCCAATGTGCATAACCTCTCCACCAGAATGCTACATTTGTTATAATTGATGAATCTCCATTGACACATCATTATTACCCAACATCCATAGTTTACATTAGGCTTCTCTCTGTGTTGCACATTACGTAGGCTTTGATAAATGTATGACATGTATCCACCATTATATTAATAGTACTACACAGAATAGTTTCATGGCACTAAACGTCCTCTTACTCTACCTAGCCATTCCTCTTTCCCCACTGACCTCTGGCAACCCCTGATCTTTTTATTGTCTTCCTACTTTTGCCTTTCCAGAATGTTACATAGTTGGATTCATACAGCATGTAGCCTTTTCAGATTGGCTCCTTTCCCTTAGAAATAGGCATTTAAGGTTCATCCATGTCTTTTCATAGATGAAAGCTGATTTCTTTTTAGTGTTGATTAGTATTCCACTGTCTAGATGTATCATGGTTTATTTACCCGTTCACCTACTGAAGAAAATCTTGGTCATTTCCAAGTTTTGGTAATTTGGTAACTATGAATAAAACTACTATAAACATGTGTGTGCAGGTTTTTGTGTGGACCTAAATTTTCAACTCCTTTGGGTAAATATCAAGGAGGGTGATTGTTGAATTGCATGGTGAAAGTATGTCTAGTTTAGAGAAATACCAAACTGTCTCCCAAAGTGGCTATACCAATTCATTTTCTTTTTTCCCTTTCTGTGTCTATTCTACGCTTTCTATCCGTTAATGTCGTTGCCATCCAATTAGGCTCCCAAACCAGAAACCAGGAGTCATACTGGACTCTTCCTTTATTCATTTTCCACAAATATTTGCTGAGTGCCCACTGTGTACCAGACACAGTGCTAGGCTCTGGCTACCTATTTATCAATAAAGAGATCTAGTCCCTTGTGTTGTGGAGTTCAGCAAGTGCCAAGTGTGTTATAAGCATTATGTAAACTCCTGGTGGAAGGACCTATAGAAAAATAAATGTCGTGAACACTGAAATTATTTTCTGTGTCATTACATTTTACTCGGCACTTTAATCCATAACCATTTATTTGAGGGACTTCAGTGCATGTGTGACTAATATTTAATATTCAAGATGTTTTGCAAGGATACACTTTTGAATATTTTGTGATATATTTCAGAACACTGGTTGTCAATAAGAAAGTTTGGGAATCGGAATTACATGAGATGATGGGATTATTACACATTGCATGCCTGTATCAAAATATTTCATGTATTCCATAAATGTATATAACAACTATGTACCCACAGAAAGAAAGAAAAGAAAGAATTACGTGACAAGCTTTGTTCAACATTACACACTTACACAATGTGTGTGCACACACATATGCACTTGCACATATATGTATATATGCCCAAGGCCATGTTGAAAACCACAAATTTGAAAAATACTCTGAAATATCTGGGAAGCCAGACACACATTTGCAATTTACTTATTCATAATTGATCATATAGAGAAGTACTAATTCTAAAACTTCCTCTTTTGTGATGCAAAGCCTTATCAATCAGCTATGAAATAAAGAGCTTTCCAACTGTGAGGATGAAGAAAGGGGTCTAGGGTTTTTCTGCATGTGATTTTTATTAAATTAGTAATATGTATATATGCCTTTGCAATATTTTCTGTTCTGAGTTTCAGGCAGAACTTGAAAAGCTGCATATGAAAAGCTCTGATCCTAGAGGACGAAGTTTCTTTTCTGCCAGACACACAACTTATCAATTTTTCAATGTGTTTTTTCAGTAGGTGTCTACAAAGAAATATGAACCAGAAGTCATTCCTTCCTGAGTTTCACTAATTTATCTCAATTTGATGACCTTTTTAATGGCCACAAACTGAGCAGTAAAATAATGACATAAACTGCAGAAAACTACAATTGTTACTGAATATATGGAAGAACCAGGAAAAGAAAACTTGGTTGATATACAAGATCTTTTGCCCAGCTTCTGGATCCAAGATAAAATTTCTCCATCATGTCTGGGCGTGGTGGCTCACGCCTGTAATCCCAGCGCTTTGGGAGGCCGAGGCGGGCGGATCACGAGGTCAGGAGATCGAGACCATGGTGAAACCCCGTCTCTACTAAAAATACAAAAAATTAGCCAGGTGCGCTGGTGGGCGCCTGCAGTCCCAGCTACCTGGGAGGCTGAGGCAGGAGAATGGCGGGAACCCGGGAGGCGGAGCTTGCAGTGAGCGGAGATCGCGTCACTGGCACTCCAGCCTGGGTGACAGAGAGAGACTCCGTCTCAAAAAAAAAAAATTCTCCATCATTATGGCTGATTAACTACAAGCAATTTTAGCAACGTTTCAACTGGTATGGGAAAAATTAGGTCAGTCATTTAATTTGAGCCAGCAAAGGGCCAAGCATAGGTATGAAAATGTTCAATGAGCAAGACAAATGAAAATGTTGCCTTTGATGGTTTTTATAAATGACCATGATATGATAGAATAATGAAATGCAAGACTTTTAAAACTTATATCCCAAGGAATCACTTAATATTTGCCAGAACATCTAGGTTTATTTTCATGTCCAGAGTACTAAAGTTAGAAGAAAAAGATGTCTAGCTTTGAGTTTTCAAAATCTATTTCTAAAATGCATGCACAGATGATTTTACACATCATTTATATTGCTACATGATGAAAACCAAAGGATGCAAAACATTGTTTAGGATATAAGGACAAGATTTCCAGGACAATTTCCTAATATGAGGGTTAGAGTGGGCTGTCCATATTTGTGAAGCTCTTTTGACTTTTTAAGAATTGTTTTAAAAATTATTAAAATCATTATCAAAAATTTCCTTCACTCCTCTCATCTCAATCTCATGCCTGCATTTCCAGGTGCATTTTTCTAGGGTCTATGAAATTTGGGCTGGGTCTTGCTAGATCAGATCATATTTTTTAAATTAAATTTTTTATTTTGAAATAATGGTAGATTCACATGCAGTTGTCAAAAATAATGTAGAGAGATCCCATGTCTCTTTCACATAATTTCCCCTACTGGTAACATCTTGAAGAACTATAATACAATTTTCACACCAGCATAGAGACATTGATACAGTGGAGATGCAAAACATTACCACCAACACTAGGATCCTTCATATCCCCCTTCTTATTCCTCTGCAACCACTAATCTATTCTCCATTTCTATATTTTGTCATTTCATAAATGTTATATAAGTAGGGCTATATGGTACATAACCTTTTGGGCTAGCTTTTTTTTTCCACTCCGTGTAATTTTCTGGAGATTCATCTGAGTTGTTGTGTGTATTAATAGCTCATCACTTTTTATGCTGCATAGAATTTCATGGTATGGACATACCACAGTTTGTTTAACCACTCAAATGTTGAAGGACATCAGGTTTTTCCTATACTTCATTATTATAAATAAAGCTGCTATAGACATTTGTATACACATTATTATGTGAACATAAGGCTCCATTTCTCTGGAATTAACTCTCAGAAAACCAATTACTGGCTAGTATATAATTGCATGTTTAGCTTTCTAAGAAACTACCAAACTATTTTCTAGACTGGTGTACCATTTTAACATCCCCACCAACAACATATGAATAATCAAGTTTCTCTACATCCTTGCCAACATTTGGAATTTTACTATTTTTTATTTTAGCCATTTTGATAAGTGTGTATTAATATCTCATGTGATTTTAACCATACTTAATCCTAAGGCTAGTGATATTGAGTATCTTTTCATGTGCTTATTTAACATCTCCTCAGTGATATGTCTCTTTGAAACTTTTACCCATTGTCTAATTGAATTGTTCTTGTGTTACGTAATTTTTGAGAGTTCTTTATATATTCTAGATATAGCCCTTTGCTGGATATGTGGTTTGCAAATATTTTCACTCTTTCTCTAGCCATGTTTTTATCCTATTAACAGCCTGCTTGAAAAGAATGTGAATTCAGCTGTTGTTGGGAAGATTCCATAAATGGCAATTATATCCTGTTGGTTGAGGGTGTTGTGTTCTTTTATATCCTCACTGATTTTCTTCGTGTTGTTCTGTCAGTTGTTGAAAAAGGGTGTTGAAGCCTACAACTATAATTTAGATTTGTCTATTTCTCCTTGCAATTCTCATCACTTTTCACTTCATGCATTTTACAGCTTGATGGCTTGGTGTATACACATTTAGATTGCTATGTGTCCTTGGCGGATTGCCCCTTTTATCTTTATGTAATGTACCTCTCAGTTTCTGGTAATTTTCTTTGGTCTAAAGTCTGCTTTCTGTGCTATTTGTGTTGTCACTTCTGCTTTGTTTTGATTAACGCTTGTATATCTTTTAGTATTCTTTTGTTTTCAATTTGCCTGTATTATTATATTTGAAGTGAGTTTCTTGTAGACAGCATATAATTAGGTTATGCTTTTTTAATCCACTCTATCAATCTTTGTCTTTTGGTTTATCTTTTTTTTCATTCAGCCTGAGACTTCTCTGATTCTTTGTGTGGGAAATTTTCTATTGAAACCTTGACATTCTCTATATTATGCCCCGAGACTCTGAATTTTATTTAAATCTCCTCATTTATCTCACTTTTTCTGACACCATTCCAATAGGGGAAAGGGAGTTGCTACCTCATTACTGCTAAGTTGAGGTAGAAGTTGGCCTCAGTTAGCACACGGGTATGAAGTGGGCTCTCTTCATTTCTGCTGAGTAAGAACGAGAGTGTTGGCTCCTCACACGGCCTCTACAGTGGAGTTGGCCTCATTACGACTTTGTGGCGGTGAAAGCCCTAGTTCTCTAGTAGGGCCTCCTCTGACCCCCACCTCAGCAGTGAGCGAAGGGGTGCCTGATGACTGCCAAGTGGGAGTAGGGTGCCAGATGACAGGCTTCCCATGTGGTCTCCACTGACACCATGTTGGTGAGAAGAGAGGGGCTAGTGGTTTCATTATAAACCAGGGCAGATAAAAGTCCCTACTTCCTACTTGGTGTTCTTTGAATACACCTGAGAGGGTATTGAAACAAATTGTTACAGCCTAGGAGTGGCTGGAAGTCTGTTCTTTTTAATGAGGCTTTTGCTGATATGGGTGGTGGTGGGACCATAAATTTTTTCAGTGATGTTTGACTGGAGTAGGACTAATATTATCTTATTTTTTCGTTGTGTTAGGCTGTGATCCTTCAGTTGGAGAGAGTCGGCTGTTTCTGGGCTTATTTTTCATCTGTCCATTGGCATTTCTGGGTTGTCAGCCTCTCCAGCTCAAGATCTGGCATCTATGAGGAAGAAACAACAGCAGAGAACTCATCACCCTGTTGTTCCTCTGCACCCAGTGTCACTGGCCAGTCTGCCTTCTTCTACCTTTCAGAGTCTTCTTTGTTATTACTGTTGTTGTTCTAAATTAGGATATAATTTATATACCACAGAACTCACCACTTAGAAGTGTACAATTCAGTGGTTTTTAGTGTATTCACAAGGTGCAACCATTACCATTATCTAATCCCAGAACACTTCTGTTCTGTTCTGTTCTATTCTACTCTTTTTTCTTACCCCCAGAAGAAAACTTGTATCTTATCCATCACTTCCTATTGCCTCACACCCCACCGCCAGCCTTATTCTGGACATTTCATGTGAATAGAAGCATAAAATTTGTTGCCTTTTGTGTCTGACTTTTTTTACTTAGCATAATGTTTTAAAAGTTCATCCATGTTGTAGCATGAATCAGTATTTCATTTTCATGGCTAAATAATATTCCACTGTAGGTATATACCACATTTTATTTATCCACTCATCAGTTGATGGGCGTTCAGTTGTTTAACTTTTTCACTAGTGTGAATAATGCTACTACGTGCATTCACATCCAAGTTTTTCTATGAACATATGTTTTCAATTATTTTGGGTATAAACCTAGGAAAGGAATTGCTGGGTCATATGGTAGCTTTATTTTTAAATTTTTGAGGAACCGTCAAACTATTTTACAAGGTCACTGTACTATTCAACACTCTTAATAGCAATGCATGAGGGTTCCAATTACTTCATATCCTTGTCAACACTTGCTATTGCCTATCTTTTCAATTTTAGCCATCCTAGCGGGTGCGGAGTTAAACCTCATTGTGTTTTTTAGTTGCATTCTCCTAATGACTAAGAATGTTGAGCATCTTTTCATGTGGCCATTTGTATATCTTCTTTGGAGAAATGTCTATTCAAACCCTTTCCTCATTTTTAAATTGGATTATTTGTCTTTTTATTGTTAAGTTGTAAGTGTTGTTTATATATTTTGGATATGAGATCCTTATCAGTTATATGAACTTAAACTACTTTCTTCTATTCTGTGAGTTGCCTTTTCATTTTCTTGATAGTTCCCCTTGACTTTCTGCACCTTGTTATATTTGCTTTGTATATCATGACCAGGATTTATAGTTATACTTAGTGGGGATAATAGAGAAGGTTATACCAAATCTATTTTCCCAGAAGTAGAAGTCTAGACTGTAGAGGACATTTCAATAATATTTTTAAAATATCAGTCAGTGAAAACTAAAAAAAAACAAAAAACCAAGAGATACAAACTGGTCCAATTTTTTCTCATAATCATCCAATGTAGAATAAATACACAGGCAACACTGACACCATATTCTTCAACCTCCTGGCAAGTCCTGAGCCTCACTCAGAGCTGATGCTGTTCACGTAGTTGGTTGGATGTGGATAACAGAGGAGTTTTCACTGGAGCGTACAGTTGAGCCCCTATGAGACCAACAGGCTGATGGCTTCAGTGGCACTAGTTTAAAAAAAGAAAAAAGCCACATTCTACAACCTGTGCTACTTTCTTTGGAATATAAATTGTGGGCCTCTGTGATACACAATCACAACTCTCTGACCTCATTTTGTAAAGGGAGGAGTAGGCTTCTTCAATCCACCCTTTCTATTTTATAAAGAAAAAACTAAAAGAAAACAGACAGGATTTCTAATTCCGTGTTCTTTCTATGAGAGAAAAAAATATAAAATGCTGGGTTTGATGGCCTCAGGCTCCATGCAAGTGATTACCTCTAAGTCTATTCCATAACTCTAGATGATAAAGATGCAACATTATGTAGCATTTGCCAGTAATAATACTATTAATAAACCAAAATAGGTAGCTTCTGTATAAAATTAGAAGGCTAGCCCTTCCGCCCTTTCACATTTGGGATCTCCAAACCAGTTTAGTTACTGTTTTTCTTTTTCATGAAACAGAATACCCTGTCATTTAGATTAAAAGTATGACATAATTGTAATAAGTGTTAAACATTAAAACCGTAACTCAAACTACATAACACAACATTTTTGGGACTCAAGAGCAACTGGAAAGAAAAACATGCAGAGTGGTTAATACACTACCCTTGCACCGGTTTTAGACCAGTGCTAAGCAGGCTCTGCTCTTGTCTTCCACCATCTGACCGCTTCAGGCTGGGGATAAAAAGAAAACCAAGCTGAAGGAGCAGGACTACCTAAGGTCCAGATCCAGGTCACTCACTGTGTACTTAGGACGCAGGAATTTCCTGCTCAATTGGCTCCAATCACATTTTCAGAACCGGTACAGGTCTCTTCTCCCAGGTTGGTTCTCCTGAGGATAGACTCTGTCTACCTAGGACTGTGGCTAATAGGGGGCTGCCTTGGGACATTGTGGATGACATTTAGATGAGTGGAATGGGTGTCTCTAGGTCTGCATGCTTGTAAATTTCTTTGTGGTGCAAGTCTGAGCCTCAGTAGGGAAAGGGTAGGGAACAGCCCTTTCATTATGGCCACGTTCAAGTGTGGAATATAAGGAATAAAGAAACTCTATTTGAAGTTGGCCTTTCCAAAAATTAGAAAGATATATTTGTCAATGCAGAAGCATAAAACATATTTAACAGTTGGTTAACTTGACCTGTAACATTTCAAATATTTAGGAGGGTCTGCTATTGTAGTTTGGTTCCACCTTAAAAATGTTAAGGGTACATCTAAGCATTATCAGTCTTTGACAACTCTAGTTCAAAAAGTGAATAAGAAAACTGAGCATTTGAAATAATTAATAATGCATCCTTTAAAACTTTTAGGCTTGCAAGCACTGTATGTACCTTCTTTAGTACAATCTTTATCACATGGTTTATACATCTCCCTTTTTATTGATATATGCTGGTTGTCTTTCAATATCTTAAAAAATAGAAGACCATGAGAAGTTACCTTTCAGTTTCTTCATAACATGAGAAACTTCTACCTGTCTAATCCCTCTCCCATCAGAGAGAGACTGGCTACATTCCCTGTCCTATGGGACCCAAGCAGCTCTCAGCTGACACTATGATGGATGGAGCAGCAGAGGCCCATACGTCAACTCTCAGGAAAGAAAAACCAGTAAATCAGAGGAGCATATCCAGAGAGAGTCAGAGGAAAGGCTGCATCAGGAAGTAGATTGCAAAGCCACATCTAGGGAGGTCAGGAAAGAGGCAGGGACAGCAGACAGCTCAGCAGACAGGAAAGGACAGTGAGAATGCATTTGTCAGGGCAAAAGACATAGCTGTGGCCAAGACTGGGATTTGGGGTTTCCTATGCGTGTATGATCTGAATCTATTTTTAAGGGTCCAGGAAGGAGTGAGCATAGCCTCTCATTCCTACAATTTTGTGTGAATGCTGTAAAGTTGGTATACTGCCTAATTTATCTCTTTCTTTTTAATTCTGGAATATTTAAGTGACTTAAACATTTAATAAATAACTAACATCTGTTGTTTTATTCATTTGTCAGACATGGTTCTAACCACTTAAAGACTGTTCTAAAGAAGGTAAGTACAGTATTTCTAAGCCTTCACTCCTCACCACAATGCTATGAAGTTGCTATTATTATTGTCATTCCCAGTTTGAAGTTTAAAAAATTGCTGAGTGAGAGGAAAATTAAGTAACTTGTCCAAGGTCATGCAACTAATAAATAGCAGAGCTGAGACCCAAGTAGGCTGACTCCAAAAACTTGATCCTTTTGACCACTTTATTATACCGTCTTCCCGTAGGAGCCTTAGCTTGTCCATGTATTTGCCTTTAGCTACAGGTAAATAGGCAGGTAGGTACAAAAAGGCCTTGGATATGGGCTCGTACGTTTTAAAGTGCCCTGAATCTTTTCAGGGGGAAAGCGCTTGCAACACTTGAATAGCACTTTGATCTGTGGTTCCTCCTCCATCACCTCTGGCCACTGCTGGATAATGTGGAGATACTATGGGGACAGTCATCATGTGAAAGGGTCACTTGGCTCAGAAGAGTCTCAGTCCTAAACAGTGTAGCTTCCAGTCAGAGTCTGGAAGCTGTGTTCGGCACTTCACCACCTTCCACTCACATCTCTTTTCTCTCTGCCAGGTCAGTACACCAGGGCATATTTACCTACTTCTCTGGGCATGGCTAGACCTCATGAGGAAGTGGCTCCAAGCATCTTTGAGGCTGCTGAGTGCCAAAAACCACCTTGAGTTTAAACTTTGGCGTTTCTCCATGTCCACTGGTACAAAACCAAGTCTTGCTAATGAATTTATGGTGCTTCCCGCTCTCTTCCGTAAATACGACAGATGCTCCCTGCTGACTGCAGACAGCCCGTGAACCATGACTAAATCACGCTTCCAGATCTGATGACGTAATTAAGCTGGAATGCTCCCTAGGTGGTGGTTGCAGACATCAGTCAAAATTTACTTTGGCTGAGTGTGGTGGCTCATGCCTGTAATCCCATCATTTTGGGAGGCTGAGGCAAGAGGATCACTTGAAGCTAGGAATTTAATACCAGCCTGAGCAACATGGCGAGACCTCATCTCTATAAACAATTTTAAACATTAGTTAGGCATGTTGGTACACACCTGTAGTCCCAGCTACTCAGGAAACTGAGGCAGGGGGATCACTTGAGCCCAGGAGTTTGAGGGTGCAGTGAGCTAGGATCGTGCCACTGCACTCCAGCCTGGGCAAAAGAGTGAGACTCTGTATCTAAAAAATTTATTTAAAAAACGTAAAGAGATTCGCTTTGAGGGAGGTTTTGTCTGCCCCAGCCAGTCTTCCCTGTAAAAAGATGCAATCCCCTAACCCATCACAGGCCCACCCTGTCTTCAGAGGGGCAGTATGTGCACAGAACTTGGCCCTCACTTAACACGGCTAGTTTCCCTCTCACTACAACAGAGTGTGGCAGCCCAAACAGCTGCCATGACTTGGGAAATGGGGATGAGCTGGGGCAGAAGTGGATAGTAGAGAGGGAAAGAGGTAGCCTCTCAGAGTTCTAGACCTTCCCCACCATGCCCTGATGCAGCTGGTCACCTCTGTCCACACACCCACCAAACTCGTTTCCCCTGCTGTGTCTCAGGTCCATTGCCATTGCCTGGGCTTCAGCTCCCTTCAAATCCCTGCTTTTAGGCATTTGGACTGCTGTGATGGCCACATGACTGATCTCTCTGCCTTTAGCCTTTCTTCTTTCCTGCCCAAGTAGCCAGAATAATTTTCCTGAATACAGTTTACACAATGCCCTGCTTTAAAAAAATACCTTGCTTTAAAGTCATGCATTCATTCATTCTCAACTATTATGCATCAGGCACATTTCTAGGGGTTGGAATATGCAATAGTAAACTGAGAAGATCCTTACCCCATGGAGCTTGTATTCTAGCATAGGAAAAAGACAATGAGCGAACAAATATGTACAGTAATGTCAGATAGGGACTTATAAGTACTATTGAGAAGAAATAAAACAGGAGAGAGGACATAGAGTAATAGGGATGAGAGTAGATGAGGGTGGAATGATAATAAGGGAATCCTTTACTGAGAAGGAAACTGGCAAATAGGCACAAATGTGACCCCCTAATCATTCCACCTTCTAGTGTTCACACGCTTTCCTGCAACTTACCTCTAACTGATGGAATACAACAAAGGCTATGGGAGGTTGTCATCCCGTGATTACTTTACCTTACGTGAGCCTCCATCTAGCTAGCAATCTTGCATGCGCCCTCTCTGCATCACTGTCTTTGAAAAGCTGCTAAGAAGATTTGCGTGAAAGTCTTTGTATGGACATTTGTTTTCATTTCTTTTAGATAGATATCTAAGAATTACTGAATTGTATGATAAATTAATGGCTAAATATTTAAGAAACTGCCAAACTATGGCTGCATCATTTTACATTCCAAGCAATGTATGATGGTTCCAATTTCTCCACATCTTTATCAACTTTTGCTTTCCATTTGTACTTTATTCTATTTTAGCCATCCTACAAGGCATAAAGTTGTTTGTCTTTTTGTTGTCAAGTTGTAAGAGTTCTTTATACATTCTGGATTAGAACCTTATTTGTTATGAGACAAGTGATCTGTAAATGCTTTTTCCTACCCTTTAGGTGGTTTTATTTTTCTGTTGTTTTATTTTCTTTTTCATGTTCCTGACAGTGTCCTTTGATGCGCAACAGCTTCTAATTTGGATAAAGTCCAACTTACCTATTGTTTTTTTTCTTTTGTGGCTTGTGCTTTGGGTATCATTTCTAGAAAACTATTGCCAAACCTAAGGTCATGAAGATTTACTCCTATGTTTTTTTCTAAGAGTTTTACGGTTTTATAGGTGATTTTTTGAAGTTGTAAAGTAGGGAACCAACTTTACTCTCGTGCATGCGGATACCCAGTTGCCCCAGGACCATTTGTTAAAGAAATTATATTTTCCCTGTTGTATGGCTTTATCATCTTTGTCATAAACCAATTAACCATAAATGCGTGGGTTTATTTCTGGACTCTCAGTTCTATGATACTGACCTATAGGTTTATTTTTATGCCAGTACCACACTGTACTGATTGTCGTAGATTTGTAGTAGGTTTTGAAATCAGAATCTATGAGTCCTCCAAATTTTTCTTTTTCTTTTTCAAGATTATTTTGGCTTTTTGAAGTCATATGCAATTCCACATGAATTTTAGAATCAGCTTTTCCATTAATGCAAGAAAAAAGGCCATTGGGATTTTTATTGGGATTGCATTGAATCTGTAGATCACTTTGGATAGTACTGCCATCTGAATAATATTAAGCTGTCCATTTCATGAACATGGGATGTTTTTCCATTTACTTAGATTTTATTCATTTTTTTCAGCACTTTTATAGTTTTCAGTATTCAAGTCTTGCACCTTCTTATTTAAATGTTTTCCTAAGTGTTTTATTCTTTGGATTCTCTTTGTGACTTGATTTTTTTTCTTAATTTCCTGTTAGCATCATTTCTTGTTAGTATATGGAAATATAACTGACTTTTATGTGTTGACCTTGTATCCTGTATATTTGCTGAATTAATATGTTAGCTATAATAAAAATTATATGTTAGCTATCATAAATTTTTTAGGATTTTCTATACAGTTAAAATTGTTACACCTTTTTGATTAATTGACCCTTTTATGATTATGAAATTTTTAATATCTGGTAATGCTCCCTTTCTTAAGGACTACTTTGGTCAATTGTTAGTATCCCAGATTTCTTTTGGTTGGTGTTTGTGTGGTATATTTTTTCTCACATATTACTTTCAATCTGCCTGTGTCTTTATATTCAAAGTATATTTCTTATAGACAGTATATATTTGTAACTTACATTATTATTCAACAAATTCAAAAATTTGTATCCAACAAATCCTCCTTTTAGTTTGAGTATTTATTCCATTTATATTTAATATAATTATTCATATGCTGGGTTTAGGTTTATCATCTTCTTTTTGTTTCCTACTTCCCCCTCTGCTTTGTCATGGTTTCTTGGGAGATAATCAAGAACTTTTTAATATTTTATTTTATCTCATCTATTGGTATTTCACCTATAACTATTTGTATTTTTTATTGATTGCTCTAGTGATTGCAATTTTTACCTGTAACTTATTACAGTTCAAGTTGAAATAATATTAAACTACCTCTCATATATCATAAGAACATTACATAATGTAGGATATGTAGAATCCCTTTGTGCTATTGCCGTCATATTTTTACTTCTAATTATTCTACAACACATTACTAATACTTTTGCTTTTAATAATCAATTTTCTTTTAAATAAATTAAGTAAAGAAGACATCTTTCTCATATATTCACAAATAATTTACCGTATCAATGATTCAGTCTTCTTTTGGATCTGTTTTTTGGCAGGAGTTCCCAACTGACATCCTTTTCTTTTAGCCTGAAATATGTCCTCCAGCATTTGCTTCAAGGTGGATCTGATGGGAAAGAATTCTCTCAGCTTTTGTTTACTGTGAATTTTTAGTTTACCTTCATTTTTGCAAAATATTCTCACTGGTATTCTAGGTTGGCTGATTTTTACTTTCAGCACTCTAAAACTGTCATTCACTTTTTGCTGTTGTTTTCTCTCATCTATTGTTTCTGATGAGAAGGTGGCTTTTCTTTTTTTTTTTTTTTTGTCTTTGATCACCCTGTGTGCAATGGACAATCTTCCTCTGAATCCTCTTGCTACTTTTTACATTATTTCCCTTTCTTTCTCTCTGCATAGATTTGGCCCAATGTCAGCCTTTTGTAGCCCATACATATAATTTTGAATCTGTAAATTACATCTTCCTCAGCTTGGAAAAATACAATTTGGAGGGTTACTTTTTCCTCTTTGTTGCTTTTGTGTAACTTACAAGAGGAGAAGGGGGAAAAGACTGACTTAGACAACCGTTTTATCATTAACTATACCGACCTGAAGGCATCTGAAAACATTATTTATAATTCTTTTATTTGCTTTCCATATTGCTACTTTGTTTTAGGGTGGTGCAAGTCATTTACTTGACTTGTGCCACAGTCTTCCCGATATGATTAGACTAATCATCGCTTAGATACGGTTTAGTGGAGCTGAGTGTCTGAAATATTTAAAGTGATTTTGTCTATGTGAATAAACATTTTATGTAGTTTTTTAAAGTTAATGCAATTTTGGTCTGCCTGTAGATGGAGTTACTTATTCTATATTCTAGCCTAAAAACAACAAATAGGAAAAATGTGAATAAACATATGGAATAAATGTGAATCACTATGATTGTCATCTCTTCAGGTCTCAGGCAGACAGATGTGGTGCGTTCTTTCTTGGGTTAATTCCCAGTTCCTTATCCACACATGCTCACCTTAAAGGTAAAACATGAATATAATACCTAGCTACCATATTTAAAATTGGTCTTTTAATGAATAGAACTTTTAGGTCTTTTAATGAATAGGTCTTTTAATGAATAGATAAGTTCATGGGAATTTATCTCTTATAAAAGTACATAAACAAATAAAGCTTTACAACGCTGTTTTCATATAATATTTTCCAGTGCATGGATTTTCTGTCATATCTGGGATTGCTGACCCTAAAGAAGGAGAAATATTAAGTGCATCATGGAGAACTTTTGTCCTTAAGTAGCAATATGAATGTATTTATAAAGACTGAATCAGGCTTTCAGAGTTACAATACACATACATATAGTCACAGTAGTTGATAAAGAATTATTAATTAAGAAAAAGCTCTTATGCTTTTTGTACAGAATGGCTGTATTTCTTGTGGGTTGTCAGTCCTTCAAAGCTTTTAGTGTTGATACATTTTTGGTATTTTCTCACAAGACTCTCATATGTGTATTAAAGGTTTTTTATTAGATGTTTTTATACTGTATTACTGTGAAACATTTTTGCTTTTTTTTTTTTTTTTTTACTTTAAGTTCTGGGATACATGTGCAGAACGTGCAGGTTTGTTACATAGTATATACGTGCCATGATGGTTTGCTGCACCCATCAACCCCGTCGTCTACATTAGGTATTTCTCCTAATGCTATCCCTCCCCTAGGGCCCTTCCCCTCGACAGGCCCCCGTGTGTGATGTTCCCCTCCCCGTGTCCATGTGTTCTTATTGTTCAACTCCCACTTCCGAGTGAGAACATGCAGTGTTTGGTTTTCTGTTCCTGTGTTAGTTTGCTGAGAACTATGGTTTCCAGCTTTATCCATGTCCCTGTAGAAGACATGAACTCATCCTTTTTCATGGCTGCATGGTATTCCATGGTGTATATGTGCCACATTTTCTTTATCCAGTCTATCATTGATGGGCATTTGTGTTGGTTCCAAGTCTTTGCTATTGTGAACAGTGCTGCAGTAAACATATGTGTGCATGTGTCTTTATAGAAGAATGATTTGTAATCCTTTGGGTGTATACCCAATAATGGGATTGCTGAGTCAAATTATATTTCATTGTTTCTTATACCCAATGTTCATGTTTAAAAGTCTTTAAGCTAATTTCCTTCCATCTTACTGTCTTTTCATTTTGCAAATGCTTGTTTTTCAGTTATTTTATACATTATAGCCATCTTCATTATCCCCAATTTTATTTTTAATAGATTATAGACACTTAAAAAATTTATAGCATGATTCTTCCTTTAGAAGTATTACATGCTCATTCTAGACATTTATAGAGCATAGACAAGTATAAAGAATAAAATAAAAATATAATTTAAGCCTCTATTTTGTATCTTAAAGGGTTAAAATTTTAATCACACATACAGTTTTTGAACAAAACTTTAATTTTATGTATTTATTATATAATATGCATAATACATATTTGATTATATGGAGCACTTTTTAGTTTAATTATATGATGGTTAATTTCCATTTCTATTGATATTCCCTAAAAATGCAATTATAATGACTATGCAATTTTTCATTTTTGAATGTATTTCAATTTATTATATAATTTCTCCATTTTTGTATAATTTATTAGCTGTGCTTTCCCTGTCATAAATATTGCAGTTAAAACCTTGTACATAACTCTTTGGCCTCATCTCTAACTATTTCTTTGAGTTAGATTGTTAGGAATATTATTACTGATCAAGGGCTAGGAACATTTTGAAGATTCTTCACTTATATGGCCAATTTATTTTTCCTGAGAAACTGTCCCGATTTGTAATTCCATTGGCAGTATAATGGAATGCTCCTCTCTCTAAATCTTCATCACTATTGAGTATTATACTTTAAATTATCTAATTTTAGCAATTTATAGCCATTTTATTTTACTTCTTATTTTTCTGATTAAGAGGTTGAATATTTTCATTATATTGATTGACCATTTGTATTCCTTCAGTGAATTATTTTTAAATGGCTTTTGTCCATTTTTTTCTACTGTGGCATAAATCTTTTTATTTATTTACCAAAGATTTTCATATGCAATGGGAGACAGTTATTCAATTTTTTAATAGCTTTAGTAACTTTTATTTGTTTTTTTTAAAAAAAATTATTTTCATAGATTTTTGGGAAACAGGTGGTATTTGGTTACACAAGTAAGTTCTTTAATGGTGATTTGTGAGATTTTGGTGCACGCATCACCCAAGTGGTATACACTGAACCCAGTTTGTAGTCTTTTATCCTTTACCCCTCCATACCCTTCCCCCAAGTCCCCAAAGTCCATTGTATCATTCCTATGCCTTCGCATACTCATAGCTTAGCTCCCACTTATGAGTGAGAATGTATAATGTTTGGTTTTCCATTCCTGAGTTACATCACTTAGAATGATAGTCTCCAATCTCATCCAGGTTGCTGTGAATGCCATTGGTCCATTCCTTTTTATGGCGGGGTAGTATTCCATTTTATATATATAATATATATTTATTTCCTTTCTTATATTTATATTCCATGTTATATATAATATTTATATATAGTTACATATAACAATATATAAACAATATGTATTTATATTTATTATATATAATATGTAATATGTTATATATAATAAATATAAATAGATTATATATAATAATATTTTTATATTATATATTATATATAATATTTTTATATTTATTATATATTATATAAAATATCTAAATATATATTGTATATCTATATATTATATATAAGTATATATTATATAATTATATGTTATATTTATATATTATATATTATATTATATTTATATATAATATATTATATAATTATATATATGTTTATATTATATGTAATTATAATTCCCTATCTCTTACCCAGCGACTTCCGGGTAGGAGATAGGGAACCCCTCCTGACTCCCGAGGGCAGAGCTTCACGGAGAGGCACGGCATTCCCATGAGCCACGTTGCCCGGCAGATTACCAAAGAAAATTTTGCCAAATTTGATTATATACCATGTATGGATGATAGCAATCTGAGAGATTTGAATAGAAAAAGTAATCAAGTTAAAACCTGCAAAGCTAAAATTGAGCTACTTGGGAGCTATGATCCACAAAAACAACTTATTATTGAAGATCCCTATTATGGGAATGACTCTGACTTTGAGATGGTGTACCAGCTGTGTGTCAGGTGCTACAGAGCGTTCTTGGAGAAGGCCCACTGAGGCAGCTTCGTGCCCTGCTGCGGCCAGCCTGACTAGACCCAACCCTGAGGTGCTGCATTTCTCAGTCGGTGTGTAATCATGTTCCAGAGCCCAAAGCCCCAGCTCTTTGTTCAGTTGACTTACTGTTTCTTACCTTAAAAAATAATTGTAGATGGAAATCAGTTGTGTCTGGCAGAAGAATAAATAAAAATCTTTGATTCAGACAGTTTATGGGATATATTAAACATTCTTAGACTAGTTGAACATCTCACTTGCCCCAATTACAAAAATAGTAGAAAAAGCAACATAAAACATAATGAAGGAAAACCTTACTTGAAGGCCCAAGTCAACATCTAAGTCCACTGAGACTTAGATAATCGAGTCTACCTCTTCAATAGGTTTGTGTGGATGGCCTGATGGAGGGCAGGTGCCCTCTGCTCCCCTATGCTACCTCTTTCTTCCCCAGGGCCTTTTATGGATTGACAGTAGTCCCCTCCGTAGGAGCTCACAGTCTAGATTAGAAGTGTTTTAATTTATACACACCCATAGTGCACACTTGTATATTGAAAAGATAAGGAAGAGGGAAACATTTATGGAATCACTCATTAGCACCAATACTTCATGATTTTTGTTGAGTTTACTTCATGAGGAAGTCAGCTCATTGGCTTCCATCTGAACCACTTTGCCTCTGAAACTTAATTACATCCAGAAAGAAGGACACTTGTATGCTAGTCTATCTATGGTCAGTTGGGGAATATGACTGTTTTTATATGCACATGTAACCCAAATATCCAATATAAATTGGTTTATTTTTAAAAATAATTTAAATTTAAAAAGTTGGGAATAGTTTTATTATTTGGCATGCTTAAATATTGATTAAGTATTCTTCATCAGTTTTTAATAAATGTATAGGCAGATATAGGTAATTTATGTGTATTTTGAGATAATGTCAAAATCATATATTTCAAAATAAACTGGGGAGTTATAAAAATACAACTAGAGATATTTTAAAAATAAAATAAAATGGAATACTACTCAGTCACAAAAAGGAATGAATCAGTGGCATTCACAGCAACCTGGATGGAACTGGAGACTACCATTCTAAGTGATGTAACTCAGGAATGGAAAACCAAACACTGTACATTCTCACTCATAAGTGGGAGCTAAGCTATGAGTACGCGAAGGCATAGGAATGATACAATGGACTTTGGGAACTTGGGGGAAAGGGTAAATATAAATATATATCATATATAAATATTACATATAAAATGGAATATAAATGTATTATATATTATGTATATAATATATTAATATTCATATAAATATATATAATGGAATATAAATATATATTCTATATTATATACAATATATTGGATGGAATATATAATATATAATTCTCTCTCTCTCTCTCTCTTTCTCAGTTTCTTTATCCACTCATTGCTTTTAAACCCTATGCTTTTCAAGATCATTCCCAGGTATTTTATAAATTTTTTTCATTGTAGCTTTGATAAAAGAAATCTATTCCTATTATGCCATCTAATAACTTATTACTAACATAAGAAACTACTACTATTTACATATTTATCTCATGTTTTGCTCCTTAAACTTAAGCTTGTAAGCATTTTTTAATTGACTTTCTGTTTTTAGATATATTATCCCACAAAACATAAGCAAATTAAAATTTTCTTCCTTATTTTCAGAAGCACTCATTTCATATATATTTCATATATATTTCATTGGCCAGAACTTCCCAAAATATTACATGAAAATGATGCTCTAAAGTGTTATTTACTATTCAGTATGTTGTTGTTTGTTGGATTAAGAATCACATAAAGAAGGCTAGGCGTGGTGGCTCATGCCTGTAATCTTAGCACTTCGGGAAGCCGAGGTGGGTGGATCACCTGAGGTCGGGAGTTCAAGAACAGCCTGACCAACATGGAGAAACCCCGTCTCCACTAAAAATACAAAAATTAGCCGGGCGTGGTGGCTTATGCCTGTAATCCCAGCTACTCGGGAGGCTGAGGCAGGAGAATCACTTGAACCCGGGTGGCAGAGGTTGCAGTAAGCCAAGATTACGCCATTGCACTCCAGCCTGGGCAACAAGAGTGAAACTCCATCTCAAAAGAAAAAAAAAAAGAGAATCACATGAAGAGTATATTATATTCTTTATTTTCTAAAAGCTTTAAGAAACCTTAAATAAGTGTATAAATAACTCTTACTCACTTTTAGGCAATATATTAAGATTAGCATATGGTGGTATTAAAGTGATGATTTAATAGATTGCCTAATATTAAACAGACTTTGAATTCTTTTAATATACCATTGAATTTAATTTTCTAGTACTTTGTAATCACCCTTTCTACATTCATAGTGAAGTCTATCGATAGCAGCATTTCCCAATTTTTTTCATGAACACAGCTTCCACAGTAAATTCTCAAAATCAAATAACCCTGTGAATTCTATGTACTAACCCATCCATAGAGATTCAAAGTACATATGAAATATTAAATACAATACCAAAAAGATCAGCAGAGAAAAAAACTTTCTCAAGGTTCTCCCCAAAATCTTCCATAGATTTTTCTCTGTTTAGGTTTTCAGCTTTATTTGGAGTCAATTCAGCCAAATTATATTTTTAAGAATATACTCATTTCCTGGAAGGGTTTTTTTTATTATAATAATTATATGCTTTTGAACATTTTTGATGAATTAATTTCTCATTTTACCTTTATTGACAGAGTTTCCCTACTATTGTCATATTTATTATCTTTTTTCCTATCATTTTGCATAGAATGGGTAGTTCATACCTCTGTCATTATCACTTTTTCTTTCTTTCCTTGTTTGTTTTTTTAAATAATGAAAGTGTTCAAGGCTATGAATTTGTCTCTGATTACAGGCTTTGGCCACGTCAAACACAATGGCAATAGCTTAACTATATGTATTAAACTTCAGTTTTGATAAAAATATGTTTCTGGAGTGATGTCAGCAAGATGGCAAAATAGGAAATCCTGACCCTTCCTTCTCCCTCAAGAGACATCAATTTAGCAAAAATATACAGAGTGAGAAATCAAGAAACTAGTTGAGAGGCTCCTGCATCCCAGGCAAGTGTGAAACCAGCAACACCAAAGCTGGTGGGAGTATCTGAGACACCCTTTTGCCATAAGTCTTTCTCCCAACATGGTACCGTATGATCAGAAGGGAATCCCCAGCTTCCAACTTCTCCATGGGAGAGGGAAGGCAAAAGCTGGACCATATGTCCAATATTCTCATTTTTGGGAAGCTACTTGAAGCACTGGAATTTGTCTCACCTGTCTCAGAGCACTTAAGAGACCTGGCAAACTTTAGTCACCTGGGGGCCACTAAGAATAAAGACCATAAATTGAACTAGCAAGCTAGCAGGTGCCACAGTCTCACCCCCTAGCTCAGTGTTAAGCAAGCAAGTGCAAAAAATGACAGCTCTTTGGCTACTCTCAGGGGATGGAAAAAAAGGAAGAAACCATATATTTATTTTTTAAATAAAATTTACCCAAGGCACTGCCTTTCATCTTACCCGTCTTAGAGTGCTTACAGGACTCAGCATATTCTAGACACTTGAGGGGCACCGAGAATAAAGATGGTGGTTTGAACTAGCACAAAGGTTTAAGAGGCCCCAAGAATCTGACTGGGCTGATTATTAAGGGTCTTTTGCATATGAGAAAAATGCATGAAGGGTGAGAGAGTTGGCTGTTTTGTCTAATAGGCAGAGCCACACTAAGAGTCAAAAAAATTGAAGAAACAGGAATATATGTTCCAAACAAAATAATAAAATAAATCTCCAGAAACTAACCCTAATGAAACAGAGATATAAGATATATTTAATAGATAACTGAAAACAACCATAAGATGTTTAATGATGTCAGGAGAACAATGCATAAACAAAAGTGAGAGTGTAAAAAAGTATATTAAAAAACAGAAATTATAGAGCTGAAGAATACAATAACTGAACCTAAAAATTCACTCAAGTCTTCAATAGCAGGCTAGATAAAGTAGAAGAAAATATCAGATAACTCAAAAAGATTATTGAAAAAAATTATTCAGTCAGAGGAGGCAAAAAAAAAAAAAAGAAAAAAGTGAAGAAAGGAACTTATGTGATACCTTCAAGCTGACCAATATACTCATTATAGCCATCTAGGAAGGAGAAGAGAGAGAGAGACAGAGAAAGAGAGCTTATTCAAATAAATAGTGATCATAAACATTCCAAATATTAAGAAGGACATAGACATCCAGATCCAAGCAGCCCAATGGAATCCAAATGAGGTAAAATTAAAAAAACCATTAATGAGAAACATTATAATCAAATTGTCCAAAGTCAAAGACAAAGAGAGAATTTTAAAAGAAGCCAGAGAAAAGTGACATACCAAGTACAAGTAAACCTACATAAGACTACCAGTGGATTTCTCAGTAGAAACATTGTTGGCCAGAAAACAATAGAAGATATATTCAAAGTGCTGAAATAAATAAACAACTGCTAACCGAAAACATAATACCTGGCAGTACTGCCCTTAAAAAATGAAAAGATAGGCTTTCCCAGCTAAGAAAAAGCTGAAGGAGTTTATCACTACAAGCCCTGCCTTATAAGAATAATAAAAGGAGTTCTTTACATTGAAACAAAATGATGCTAAATGGTAATGAAAATGCATGTAAAAGTACAACACTGTCTGGTAATGGTTAATATAAAGACAAATACAGAATACTGTGATACTGTACTAGTGGTAGGTAAATCACTTTTAAATCTGGTATAAATGTTTAAATATAAAAGTATAAAAAATTAAAACTATATGTTAGTAGATACACAACAGAAAAAGATATAAATTATGAAATCAACAACAAAGTGTGGGGGGAGGAGGAGTAAAAACATAGAATTTTTGCATTTGTTGAAGTTATCAGCTTGAAATAGACTTTTATAACTATCAGTTGTTGCATGTAAAGCCAATGGTGACCACAAAGAAAATAACCTATAAAAGATAAACAAAAAAATGGAAAGAAATCACACCATATCAATAAAAAATAAACAAAACACAAAAGAAGATATCAAGAGAGGTAAAGAAAAACAAAAGAACTACAAGACAAACAGAAAACAATTAACAAAATGACAGTAGTAAGTCCTTTTCTAACAATAATTATTTTAAATGCATGTGAATTAAGCTCCGCAATCAAAAGACACAGAGTAGCTGAATAAATTTTAAAAACTCACATTCAGTTATATACTGTGTACAAGAGACTCACTTTAGATTGAAGAACATATGTAAGCTGAAAGTGAAGAGACAGAAAAAGATATTCCATACAAACAGTGACCAAAAAAGCAGAGGTGGCTATACTTAGACAAAACAGATTGTTGGTCAAAAACTGTCACAAGAGACAAAGAAGGACATTATATAATGACAAGAGAATCAATTTACCAGAAAGATATAACAATTATAAATATATATGCACTCAACATTAAAGCACCTAAACACATAAAGCAAATGTTGATAAAATTGAAGGGAGAACTGGCAGCACAATAATACTAGAAGACTTCAATATCTCACTGACATGGCTTGGATTTGTGTCCCCACACAAATTTCATGTCTAATTGTAATCCCCAATGTTTGATGAAGGGCCTGGTGGGAGATGACTGGATCATGGAGGCAGATTTCTCCCTTGCTGTTCTTGTGATAGTGACTGAATTCTCACAAGAGCTCATTGTTTAAAAAGTGTGATGCATCTCCCCTTTTTCTCTTTCTCCTGCTCCTGCCATGTAAGACATGCCTGCTTCCCTTTCACCTTCCATCATGATTGTAAATGTGCTGAGGCTTCCCCAGTCATACTTCCTGTTCAGACTGCAGAACCGTGAGCCAATTAAACCTCTTTTCTTTATAAATTACCCACCCTCAGGTATTTCTTTATAGCAGTGTGAGAATGGATTAATGCACCCACTTTCAATAATGGATAAAGCATCTAGACAGAAAATAAATAAGAAACAGCAGACTTGAAAAACACTATAGACCAAATGAACCTAGCAGATATAAACAGAACATTTCACCCAACAGCAGCAGAAAATATACTCTCAAGTGCACATGGAATAGTCTCCAAAATAGATCCTATGTTAGGTCATAAAACAAGTGTTAACAAATTTACAAAGACTAAATTTGAAAAAATTAATTTTCCCAACCATAATGGGATAAAAGTAGAAATCAATAGCAAATGAAAAACTGTAAAGTACACAAATATGTGGATATTAAACATGTTTAAACCACAAATAGGCCAAAGGAAACCAAAAGAGAAATTAGAAAATGTCTCCAGACAAATAAAAACAAAAACATAACATGTCAAAACTTATGAGACGCAACAAAAGCAGAAATAAGAGGACTGCTTATAGCAATAAATACTTGCATTGGAAACGATCTCCAACAACTTAACTTTATACCTCAAAGAACTACAAAAAGAAAAACAAACTAAGACCAAAGTTAGTAGAAGAAGGAAAATAATAAAGAATAAAGCAGATAAACTAAACAGAGAATAGAAAATCAAAAGAAAAAAATCAACAACAGAAAGAGTTGATTTTTTAAAAGATAAGTAAAATTGACAAACCTTTAGCTCAACTAAGAGAAGAGAAAAATAAATAAAATCATAAAGAGGAGATATTTTAACTGATACCACAGAAATACCAAAGATGATAAGAGACTAGTATAAGTAGTTCTACACCAAAAAAAAAATAACCTAGAAGAAATAGATAAATTTCTAGAAACACACAATCTACTGAGACTGAATCATGGAAAAGTAGAAAGTCTGAAGAGATGATAATGAGTAAGGACATTGGATCAATAGTCAAAAACCTTCCTACAAAGAAAAGCTCAGGACCTGATAGCTTCACTGGCAAATTCTACCAACCATTTATAGAAGAATTAATACCAATCCTTCTCAAACTCTTCCAAAAAACTGAAGAGAGAACACCTCTAAACTCATTTTATAAAGCCATCATTACCTTAATATCAATTTCAGACAAAGATGCTACAAGAAAGACAATTACAAGCCAATATCCTTAGTGAGCATAGATACAAAAATCCTCAACAAAATACTGACAAACCAAATTCGACAGCACATTAAAAAGTATCTTACAATATTATCCAATTCTCAAATGAGATTTATCCCTTGAATGCAAGACTGTTTCAACAAACAAAACTTAATTAATGTGATACACCACATTGAAAGAATGAAGGATAAAACCCACATTATCATTTCATATCAGAAACAGCATTTGATAAAATTCAACATTATTTTATAATGAAAAGGCTTAACAACCAGGAATAGAAGGAAATACTTTAACATAATAAAGGTCTTATATAAAAAACTCACAGATGACATCATACTCAGTGACTAAAAACTGAAAGTTTTTTCTCTCATTTAGGAACAAGGCAAGGATGCCCATTCTTATCACTTCTATTCAGAACAGTACTGAAAGTCCTAACCAGAGCAATTAGGCAAGAAAAAAGAAATAAAAGATGTACATATCAGAAAGGAAGAAATGAAATTATCTTATTTGCAGATGACATAATTTTCTATGTAGAAAATCCTAAAGGCTACAAACAAAAAAGAAAACAAAGAACTGCCAGAGGTAATAAATTAATTCAATAAAATTGTGGAATACAAAATCAACATACCAAAATCACTTCAATTTCTTTTTAAATATTTATCTTCTTTTTATTATTATACTTTAAGTTATGGGATACATATGCAGAGCATGCAGGTTTGTTACATAGGTATACACCTGCCATGGTGGTTTGCTGCACCCATCAACCCGTCATCTACAGGCATTTTTCCTAATGCTATCCCTCCCCTAGCCCCCCATCCCCCAACAGGCCCTGGTGTGTGATGTTACCCTCCCTGTGTCCATGTGTTTTCATTGTTCAACTCCCACTTCTGAGTGAGAATATGCGGTGTTTGGTTTTCTATTCCTGTGTTAGTTTGCTGAGAATGATGGTTTCCAGCTTCATCCATGTCCCTGCAAAGGACATGAACTCATCCTTTTTTATGGCTGCATAGTATTCCATTGTATATGTGTGCCACATTTTCTTTATCCAGTCTATCATTGATGGGCATTTGGGTTAGTTCCAAGTCTTTGTTATTGTGAACAGTGTGGCAATAAATATATGTGTGCATGTGTCTTTATAGTAGAATGATTTATAATCCTTTGGGTATATACCCAGTAATGGGATTGCTGGGTCAAATGGTATTTCTGGTACTAGATCCTTGAGGAATTGCTACACTGTCTTCCACAATGGTTGAACTAATTTACACTCCCATCAACAGTGTAAAAACAGTCCTCTTTCTCCACATCCTCTCCAGCATCTGTTGTTTCCTGATTTTTTAATGACTGTCATTCTAACTGGTGTGAGATGGTATCTCATTGTGATTTTGATTTGCATTTCTCTAATGGCCAGTGATGATGAGTTTTTTTCATATGTTTGTGGGCTGTATAAATGTCTTCTTTTGAGGAGTGTCTGCTCATATCCTTTGCCCACTTTTTGATGGGGTTGTTTGTTTTTTCTTGTAAATTTGTTTAAGTTCTTTGTAGATTCTGGATATTAGCCCTTTGTCAGATGGATAGATTGCAAAAATTTTCTCCCATTCTGTAAGTTGCCTGTTCACTTGGATGATAGTTTCTGTTGCTGTGCAGAAGCTCTTTAGTTTAATTAGTTCCCATTTGTCTATTTTGGCTTTTGTTGCCATTGATTTTGGTGTTTTAGTCATGAGGTCTTTGCCCATGCCTATGTCCTGAATGGTATTGCCTAGGTTTTCTTCTCAGGTTTTTATAGTTTTAGGTCTAACATTTAAATCTTTAATCCATCTTGAGTTAATCTTTGTGTAAGGTTTAAGGAAGGGGTCCAGTTTCAGTTTTCCGCCTATGGCTAGCCAGTTTTCCCAACACCATTTATTAAATAGGGAATCTTTTCCCCAATGCTTGTTTTCGTCAGGTTTGTCAAAGCTCAGAAGGTTGTAGACATGTGGTGTTATTTCTGAGGTCTGTGTTGTGTTCCATTGGTCTATATATCTGTTTTGGTACCAGTACCTTACTGTTTTGGTTACTGTAGCCTTGCAGTATAGTTTGAAGTCAGGTAGCATGATGCCTCCAGCTTTGTTCTTTTTGCTTAGTATTGTCTTGGCTATGTGGGCCTTTTTTTGATTCCATATGAAATTTAAAGTAGTTTTTTCCAAATCTGTGAAGAAAGTCAATGGTAGCTTGATGGGGATAGCAATGAATTTATAAATTACTTTGGGCAGTATGGCCATTTTCACAATATTGATTATTCCTATCGATGAGCATGAAATGTTTTCCCATTTGTTTGTGTCCTCTCTTATTTCCTTGAGCAGTGGTTTGTAGTTCTCCTTGAAGAGGTCCTTCATATTCCTTGTAAGTTGTATTCCTAGGTATTTTGTTCTCTTTGTAGCAATTGTGAATGGGAGTTCACTCATGATTTGGCTCTCTGTCTGTCTATTATTGGTATATAGGAATGCTTGTGATGTTTGCACATTGATTTTTTATCCTGAGACTTTGCTGAAGTTGCTTACTAGCATAAGGAGATTTTGGGCTGAGATGATGGGGTTTTCTAAATACACAATCATGTCATCTGCAAACAGAGGCAATTTGACTTCCTCTTTTTCCATTTGAATAACCTTTATTTCTTTCTCTTGCCTGATTGCCCTGGCCAGAACTTCCAATACTATGTTGAATAGGAGTGGTGAGAGAGGGCATCCTTGTCTTGTGCCGGTTTTCAAAGGGAATGCTTCCAGCTTTTGCCCATTCAGTACAATATTGGCTATGGGTTTGTCATAAATAGCTCTTATTATTTTGAGATATGTTCCATCAATACGTAGTTTATTGAGAGTTTTTAGCATGAAGGGGTGTTGAATTTTATCAAAAGCCTTTTCTGCATCTATTGAGATAATCATGTGTTTTTTGTCATTGGTTCTGTTTACCAGATGGATTATGTTTATTGATTTGCGTATGTTGAACCAGCCTTGCATCCCAGGGATGAAGCCCACTTGATCATGGTGGATAAGATTTTTGAGGTGCTGCTGCGTTCGGTTTGCCAGTATTTTATTGAGGATTTTCCCATTGATGTTCATCAGGGATATCGGCCTGAAATTTTCTTTTTCTGTTATGTCTCTGCCAGGTTTTGGTGTAAGGGTGATGCTGGCCTCATAAAATGAGTTAAGGAGGCGTCCCTCTTTTTCTATTGATTGGAATAGTTTCAGAAGGAATGGTACCAGCTCCTCTTTGTACCTCGCATAGAATTTGGCTGTGAATCCATCTGGTCCTGGACTTTTTTTGGGTTTGTAGGCTATTAATTACTGCCTCAATTTCAGAACGTGTCATTGGTCTATTCAGGGATTCGACTTCTTCCTGGTTTCGTCTTGGGAGGGTGTATGTGTCCAGGAATTTATCCATTTCCTCAGATTTTCTAGTTTATTTGCATTGAGGTGTTTATATTATTCTCTGATGGTGGTTTGTATTTCTGTGGGGTAGTGGTGATATCCCCTTTATCATTTTTTATTGTGTCTATTTGATTCTTCTTTTTCTTCTTTATTAGTCTCACTAGCAGTCTATTTTGTTAATCTTTTCATAAAACCAGCTCCTAGATTCATTAAGTTTTTGAAGGGTTTTTCGTGTTTCTATCTCCTTCAGTTCTGCTCTGATCTTAGTTATTTCTTGTCTTCTGCTAGCTTTTGGATTTGTTTGCTCTTGCTTCTCTAGTTCTTTTAATTGTGATGTTAGGGTGTCCGTTTTAGATCTTTCCTGCTTTCTCCTGTGGGCATTTATTGCTATAAATTTCCCTATAAACACTGCTTTAGCTGTGTCCCAGAGATTCTGGTATGTTGTATCTTTGTTCTCATTGGTTTCAAATTATGTATATCTGCCTTAATTTCATTATTTACCCAGTAGTCATTCAGGAGCAGGTTGTTCAGTTTCCATGTAGTTGTGAGGTTTTGAGTAAGTTTCTTAATTCTGAGTTCTAATTTGTTTGCACTGTGGTCTGAGAGACTGTTATGATTTCCGTCCTTTTGCATTTGCTGAGGAGTGTTTTACCTCCAATTATGTGGTCACTTTTAGAATAAGTGCGATGTGGTGCTGAGAAGAATGTATATTCTGTTGATTTGGAGTGGAGAGTTCTGTAGATGTCTATTAGGTCCATGTGGTCCAGAGATGAATTCAAGTTCTGAATGTCCTTGTTAATTTTCTGTCTTGTTGATCTAATATCGACAATGGGGTGTTAAAGTCTCCCACTGTTATTGTGTGGGAGTCTAAGTCTCTTTGTACGTCTCTAAGAACTTGCTTTGTGAATCTGGGTGCTCCTGTATTGGGTGCAAATATATTTAGGACAGTTAGCTCTTCTTGTTGCGTTGACCCCTTTACCATTATGTAATGCCCTTCTTTGTCTGTTTTGATCTTTGTTGATTTAAAATCTGTTTTATCAGAGACTAGGATTGCAACCACTGCTTTTTTTGCTTTCCATTTGCTTGGTAAATATTCCTCCATCCCTTTATTTTGAGCCTATGTGTGTCTTTGCACGTGAGATGGGTCTCCTGTATACAGCACACCAATGTGTCTTGACTCTTTATCCAATTTGCCAGTCTGTGTCTTTTCATTGGAGCATTAACCCATTTACATTTATATTTAAGGTTAATATTATGGTGTATGAATTTGATCCTGTCATTATGATGCTAGCTGATTATTTTGCGCATTAGTTGGTATGTTTTTGCAGTGGCTGGTACCAGTTTTTCCTTTCCATATTTAGTGTTTCCTTCAGGAGCTCTTGTAATGTAGGCCTGGTGGTAACAAAATCTCTCAGTATTTGCATGTCTGTAAAGGATTTTATTCTCCTTTGCTTATGAAGCTTAGTTTGGCTGGATATGAAATTCTGGGTTGAAAATTATTTTCTTTAAGAATGTTGAATATTGGCCCCCACTCTCTTCTGGCTTGTAGGGTTTCTGCAGAGAGATCTGTTAGTTTGATGGGCTTCCCTTTGCACGTAACCTGACCTTTCTCTCTGGCTGCCCTTAACATTTTTTCCTTCATTTCAATATTGGTGAATCTGACAATTGTGTGTCTTCGGGTTGCTCTTCTCGAGGAGTATCTTTGTGGTGTTCTCTGTATTTCCTGAATTTGAATGTTGGCCTGTCTTGCTAGATTGAGGAAGCTCTCCTGGATAATATCCTGAAGAGTGTTCCCCAACTTGGTTCCATTCTCCCTGTCACTTTCAGGTACACCAATCAAACACAGGTTTGGTCTTTTCACATAGTTCCATATTTCTTGGAGGCTTTGTTCATTTTTTTTTCATTCTTTTATCTCTAATCTTGTTTTCATGTTTTATTTCACTAAGTTGATCTTCAATCTCTGTTATCCTTTCTTCTGCTTGATCAGTTCATCTATTGATTCTTGTGTATGCTTCACGAAGTTCTCATGCTATGTTTTTCAGCTCCATCAGGACATTTATTTTCTTCTCTAAATTGATTATTCTAGTTAGCAATTCCTCTAAACTTTTTTTCAAGGTTCTTAGCTTCCTTGTATTGGGTTAGAACATGCTCCTTTAGCTCGGAGGAGTTTGTTATTACCCACCTTCTGAAGCCTACTTCTGTCAATTCATCAAACTCATTCTGTGTCCAGTTTTGTTCCCTTGCTTGTGAGGAGCTGTGATCCTTTGGAGGAGAAGAGGCATTCTGGATTTTGGAATTTTCAGCCTTTTTGTGCTGGTTTTTCCTCATATTTGTGGATTTATCCACCTTTGGTCTTTGATGTTGCTGACCTGTGGATGGGGTTTCTATGTGGACATCCTTTTTGTTGATGTTGATGCAATTCCTTTCTGTTTGTTAGTTTTCCTTCTAACAGTCAGGCCCTTCTGCTGCAGGTCTGCTGGAGTTTGCTGGAGGGCTACTCCAGACCCTGTTTGCCTGAGTGTCACCTGTGGAGGCTGCAGAACAGCAAAGATTGCTACCTGTTCTTTACTCTGGAAGCTTCATCCCAGAGGGGCACCTGCTAGATGCCAGCTGGATCTCTCCTGTATTAGGTGTCTGTTGGCCCCTGCTGGGAGGTGTCTCCTAGCCAGGAGGCATGGGAGTTGGGGACTCACTTGAGGAGGCAGTTTGTCCCTTAGCAGAATTTGAGTGGTGTGCTGGGAGATCCATTGCTCTCTTCAGAGCTGGCAGTTTAAGTCTGCTGAAGCTGTGCCCACAGCTGCCCCTTCCCCTAGGTGCTCTGTCCCAGGGAGATGGAAGTTTTATCTATAAGCCCCTGACTGGGGCTGCTGCCTTTCTTTCAGAGATGCCCTGCCCAGACAGGAGGAACCTAGAGAGGCAGTCTGGCTACAGCGGCTTTGCCAAGCTGTGATGGGATCCACTCAGTTCGAACTTCCCAGTGGCTTTGTTTACACTGTGAGGGGAAAATCACCTACTCAAGTCTCAGTAATCCTGGATGCCCCTCCCTGCACCAAGCTTGAGCATCCCAGGTTGACTTCAGACTGCTGTGCTGGTAGTGAGAATTTCAAGCCAGTGGATCTTAGCTTGCTGGGCTCCATGGGGGTGGGATCCACCGAGCTAGACCACTTGATTCCCTGGTTTCAGCCCCCTTTCCGGGGGAGTGAAGCATTCTGTCTCACTGGTGTTCCAGGCGCCACTGGGATATGAGAAAAAAAACAAAAACAAAAGAACCCCTGCAGCTAGCTTAGTATCTGCCCAAATGGCCGCCCAGTTTTGTGCTTGAAACCCAGGGTCCTGGTGGTGTAGGCACCCGAGGGCATCTCCTGGTCTGCGAGTTGTGAAGACCGTGGAAAAAGCATAGTATCTGGGCTGGAGTGCACCATTCCTCACGGCACAGTCCCTCACAGCTTCCCTTGGCTAGGGGAGGGAATTCCCTGACCCCTTGCGCTTCCTGAGTGAGGTGATGCCCCACCCTGCTTCAACTTGCCCTCCGTGGGCTGCACCCACTGTCTAACTAGTCCCAAAGAGATGAGTCAGGTACCTCAGTTGGAAATGCAGAAGTCACCTGCCTTCCACATTAACCTCGCTGGGAGCTGCAGACCAGAGCTGTTCCTATTCGACCATCTTGCCAGCCACCACAGTGTATATCAAAAATCAGTTCAATTTCTATACACTAGAAAGAAACTATCTAAAATAAAAATTAAGAAAATAATTCCATTTCCATTAAGTCAAATATAATATTTAAAATACATGTAATCATGAAGGTGAAAAAAATTGTACATCAGAAACTATTTTAAAAATTGATGAAATTAAAGAAGATACAAATAAATGGAAAGATTTATGGTGCTTATGGATTGGAAGACTTATGTTTGTTAAGGTGTCCATAGTACCCAAAGTGATTTACAGGTTTAATATATTCCCAACAAAATCTCAGTGGCATTTTTCTACAGAAATAGAATCCTAAAATTCATACTGAATCACAAAGGACCACAAATAGCCAGAACAGTCTCGAGAAGTAAGAACAAAGCCTGGAGGTAACAGGCTTCCTACAATAATTAAAATAAATTGGTATTTGCATAAAGACAGACATATAAATCAACGGAAGAGAATAGAGAGCCCAGAAACTTACCTTTGTCAACTTACCTTTGAGAAGGATGCCAAGGATAGACAATGGGGAAAGGAAAGTCTCTTCAACAAATGGTATTTGAAAACTGGATAGCCACATGCAGAAGAATGAAATTTAAACTTACACTTTATACTCAAAACCCAAAATAGATTAAAGACTTAAATATAAGACCTAAAACTAAAACTTCTAGAAGAAAACATAAAGGAAAGCTTCATCCAATGACTTCTTGGATATGATACCAAAAGCACAGGCAATGAAAGCAAAAATAGACATTTAGGACTAGATCAAACTAAAAAGTGCCTGCATAGCAAAAGAAACAACTGATGGAGTGAAAAAGCAAACTACAGAACAGGAGAAAATATTTGCAAACCATATATTTGATAAACAGTTAATATTCAAAATATATAAGACATTCCTTCAACTCAATGGCAAAAGAATGAATTATCCAATTAAAAAATGGGCAAAAGACTTGATAGACATTTCTCCAAAGAATACAAATGACCAAGAGGTTCATGAAAAGATGCTCAGCCAGGCACACTTGCTCTTGCCTGTAAACCCAGCACTTTGGGAGGCTGAGGCAGGAGGATTTTGTGTGCCCAGGAGTTTGAGACCAGCTTGGGCAACATAGTAAGATCCCAGCTCTACAATTTGTCTTTAATTAGCCTGGTGTGGTCGTCATACCTGTAGTCTCAGTTACTTGGGAGGCTGTGACAGGAGGATCACTTGAGCCCAAGAGGTCGTGGTTGTAGTGGGCATGTTTGCACCACTGCAGTCAACCTGGGCGACAAAGCAAGACTCTGTTTCAAAACAAACAAACCAACCAAGAATCAAATGAACAGAAAAGGTGCTCAATATCACTAACCATCAAGGGAATATAAAGAAAAACTACAATGAGATATAACCTTCCACCTGTCAGGATGGCTATTGTCAAAAAAAAAAAAAACCAAGAAAAAATTGTAAGTGTTGATGAGGATGTGGAGAAATTGGAACCTTTGTGCACTGTTGGTAGGAATGCAAAATTGTGCAGCCCCTATGGGAAACAATATGGAGGTTTTTCAAAAAATTAAAAATAGCAACACCACATGATCAGTCTTACTTTTGGGTATTTATCCAAAAGAACTTGAGGAGATATTTGCACTCCCATGTTCATTACAGCATTATTCACAGTAATCAAGTTGTAAAAACAACTAAATCTTCATTAATGGATGAGCAGATAAAGAAGATGTGCCTATTTGTCCTTTTAAACAACCAGATCTCACAATCTTTCACTCACTATCACAAGAACAGCACCAAAGGGGAAATCTGCCCCCACAATCCAATCACCTCCCACCAGGCCCCGACTCCAACACTGAAGATTACAATTTGACATGAGATTTGGGGACACAGACCCAGACCATATTAATGTGGTATACACATATAATGAAATATCTTTCAGCCTTAAAAAATGAAGGAAATCCTGCCATATGTGACAACATAAATAAACCTTGAGGCATATGTGACAACATGAATAAACCTTGAGGACCTTATGCCAAGTGAAATAAGCATGATAGCAATATTTATGAGATATATAAAGTGGGCACAAAGAATGATGATTTCTGGGGCAGGGAGGAGGAAGAAATGAACAGCTGCTATTCAATGGGTGTAACATTTCAGCTATGCAAGATGATTAAGCTCTAGAGATCTGCTGTACAATATTGGGCTTATAGTTAACAATAATATATTATAACACCTAAACATTTGCTAAGAGGGTAGATTGTATGTTAAGTGTTCTTACAGCAATAAAAAAGAATGTTATCTCTTTCTCTATTTTTACAAATATTTTAGTGTGTCTAGAGAGAGGTTGCAAAGGGTTTACCAGTTAGATACCGTTTTAAAGTGAAAATTCTTTGCATTCACAGTTGATATTGCCTGTATTTTGGATGGTTTCCAAAATAGCAAGAGCGTCATTATTATCATCATCGTTTGCACTTTGTGTTCTCTAGTGCAACATGGTAGAAGAAATCAGTAGGAAAGAAATATAAAGCTTTATTCCTATTCCATCAGGAAATTCAATAACACTAAAAATATCCACAACTACACAGCAGGGTGACTATAGCAAGTAACAATGTAGTATGTATTTCAAGGCATCTAGAAGAGATTTTGAATGTCATCACTGCCAGGAACGGATAAATGTCTAAAATGATGAATATGGAAATTACTCTTATCATTATACTATGTGTACATGCATTGAAACATCACATTGTACCCCATAAATATGTATAACTGTCAGCTATGATATTAACTAGACAGGAGTAATGTGTTACTTCATTCATTTTACATGCTATAAAGGAATACCTGAGATTGGGTAATTTATAAAAAAAAGAGGTTTATTTGGCTTACAGTTCTGCAGGCTGTATAAGAAGCATGGCATCAGCATCTGCCTAGTTTCTGGTGATGGCCTCAGGAGGCTTTTACTCATGATGGAAGGCAAGGAGAGCCTATATATCTGAGTAGTTACACAAAGAGAAGCATCATGAACCATCAGAAGGAAGGTAGCTACTTTAAACCACAGGTGCCTTCGCAGAAGGGCAATTCTTCAGAAACACACATAAGTATTATTTGTAAGAAAAGGAGGTTAAACTCAGTTGTTGTGGCGGTAGACAGAAGGACTTAAAATTGTTTTGGTTGAAGAGGAAAGTCTAAGGCTGGTGCCCCTCTAAATTAACTACCTACCCATCCTATGTTTTCCTAAGTCATCTTTCTCTTCTGATCTCCACCAAAAAAAAAAAAAAATCTAAACCAAAAATTGAAACCTTTTGCATTTTCTGCATACATACATCCTTACTCCCACTCTGCTCACTCTCAGCAAATTACCTCACCTCCTACTTCAAATAAAATAGCAGCTATCAGAAAAAATGTCCTTGAAATTCCTACTACCAAACCAATAATCTTTTCTGCACCTTCTCACACACTTTTCTCCATGTCCCTGGCCACAGTAGAGGACTCTCTGCCTCCACCAATACTGCATTCTATTATGTCTCTCCTAGCTCACCATCTTGTCAAATAACAGGAAACATTAGGCCACAGGGTTTATTCTAGGACAGTCTTTTTCTGTGCAAATATACCTCAGTTTCTGATCTGCACCAAGGGAACACAATTTGTATAGGCAATGTTGGTTTCATTATGGGCCGCTGGAATCTTATAAAATGTCTGGATTGATCTTATGTTTTGTAGGAATTATGTGAGTTATTTTGTACTATTTTTTCTGGTTTTAAAAGAAACAGGGCTGGGCACAGTGGCTCATGCCTGTAATCACAGCAAGTTGGAAGGCTGTGGCAGGAAGATTGCTTGAGGTCAGGAGTTTGAGGCCAGCCTGGGCAACATAGCAAGACCACATCAATACAAAAAAATAAAATAAAATGAAAGGAAACAACATGTTACTTCACTGACAGATTATCTAGGAACAGTAGGTGATTGTATATATTAGAATTTCACAGGCAAAGAAAACTTATATATTGCCTATTTGTATTTTTTTCAACTACCTTCTATATTTTTAGCCAGCTGGGCTTTTGGAAGAGTCATCTGAGTTAGAAATAGATGTTCATGTCTTTCTCTTTCCTGCAGAAATTATTGATCAGTATAAGCAACTCTTATCATAAAGGTCAGGATTGACCCTCAGCCTCTTTGTTTGGGGGCAATCACAGTTCCAAGCCTTCTCCTGCACAATCTCCAAACATTATGTCTCCTGGTTTCCTATATCTGGCCTCTCCTTTTCTGGATGCTTTTCTGTATCCATAGCAGGTCCCTCTTCTTGTCCCTGAGACAGGTGTTTCTCAGGGCACAGCCTTGGGCTTTCTGCTCTTTCTTCTTTACTAGTTTTCACTGTACCTGGACAAAGGAACTCACTGTGAGTCTTCAGTAATCTCTTCAGTGCTACTGACTCCCAAATCAATAACTCCAGCACAATCTTTCTTCTGCACTCCGCTTTGATGTCTGATAAGTACCTCCAACTCACCATGTCCAGGATTGATTTTATCCTGGTCTCCCCAACTTCCTGCGTTCCTCTTTCTCCAGATGGCACCATGATGGCCCAGCTGGAAACCTTCTCTCTTACTTGCCCACCCAAATGCCTCACACCCCGGCAACCACTTCTTCATATAGACATTTCATTTGGCACTAATTCTGTTTACCTGAATCTATCAACAGAGCCTACTTTCCTGCTCAGATCCAACTACCTCACAGAGATAAGATAGTATTTTATCATTTGGTAGCCTTTTATAAATGATTCATGTGCTGCAGACTGAAATTTTACAAAAAAAAAAGTTGTTAATCCTTAAAGGCAGTGAAGAAAGGAATGGTGATGATACTAGGAAAATTCTCCTCAGTATTACCAAATTGCCAAGGTTTTTTCTTGTACTGTTTCCATGTTCCTTTCATGAACACTAGACTCATTCCTGCTCTGTGCAGTTTCACTGACAAGTGCTGGGGATGCAGAAACAAAATAAGAATACTTGTTCCAAAAAAGTAGCTTACAGAGTAAAGGAGGAGAGTGGTAGGAACACCATAGCCATTCAACAGCGCTGTCTTTCAACACTAAGGTACAGAAGCCAGGGGGACAACAGGCCACCCCTCTGACCAGCAAGGTGTGACGAACTTCCCAGAGGTGCGGTGAAATCTAAGATGAGTTCTGAATTCAGTCATTTATTCAATTCATTTTTTATTCGGTCATTTATTAAATGAATATTTACATTAATTGCTTCACAGTTGCTCTTTAGCCATCTGATCAGATACTAAATCTCTAGCACCAAGCAAATCTTTGCTGTTATTTTTTAAAACCTCGGAATCCCAGAGTTTGACACAGAAAGGAGATGATGCAGGCCAGATCAAATTAAGAAATTAAGAAGAAAAACAGCTTCCCCAGTATGCTCTCTTATTTTCAGAGAGTCAGACTGTCAGGTCAACCCAGGCAGATGGAAAAGGAGATTAGGAAATGCATTCAACATGCTCATGGTCTGCTGATAGCTTTTCAATACTGCTGCCTGTCATTGGGAATACACCGTGCCCTCCTTCTGAATAAATTACAGAGCAATTACAGCCTAAGGGATAGGAGTTTTCCCACTACCTTGTTGAGCACTGCTGTGGCTCAGAAGCTACTTGAGCCACAGTGTGAGTGGGTCTCAGAGAGAACAGCTGCCCTTCCTAACCTACCACCAATTGTCTGGGGTGGGGTAAGTCAGTGAGGGCTTGATCCCAAGACTCAAGCATCAACCTCGCTTTGATGGCTGACACATGAAATGATGTAAATGGATGAATAATCCAGTCCGAGCTTCTGTGCCTTCAGGAATTTTAGCCTTTCCTGGTTCTACCTCCTGGTTCTGGCAACACTAATGAGAGACTGAATAGATAAACAGAAAACAGCCAGACCATGCCTAAAAGACAGAACTCTGACCTACAGCCTGCAGCAACCTGCCCAGGAAGCCAACACAGTAGCCAGCCCAGGAAGCCAGCCGGCTGTGTCAGACTTGTGGAAAGTCAGGTTGCTTTGTCTAGCAACAGTCCAGGAAGTCAAACAAGAACCCCAAAAAGCCATGGCTAATCTTTTTTTGCTTTATAAGTCTTTTTTTAAAACTCACTAATTTTTGATACATCATAATTGTATATACATGTGATATTTCGATACATGCATACAATGTGTAATGATCAAATCAAGGTATTTAGGACATCCATTGGCTTAAACATTTATTATTTGTTTGCATTTGGAACATTCCAAATCTTCTCTTCTAGCTATTGAAATATACAATATATTTTTGTTAACTATAATTACCCTATTGTGCTATCAAACACTAGGACTTATTCCTCCTATCCAACCATAGTTTTGCATTCATTAATCAACCTCTCTTTTTTCCCTGCCCCCACATTACCTTTCCCAGCCTCTGGTATCTATCATTTTACAATCTCCATGACGTCAACATTTTTTAGCTTACATGTGAGTGAGAACATTCAATATTTTTCTTGTTGTGCCTGGCTTATTTCACTCAACATAATGACCTTTGGTTCCATCCATGCTGCTACAAATGACAGAATTTTATTCTTTTTTTATGGCTGAATAGTATTCCATTGTGTATACATGCCACATTTTTAAAAAAGCCATTCATTTGTGGATGGACACTTAAGTTGATTCCATATCTATGCTATATCTAATAGTGCTGCGATAAACATGGAGGTTCAGGTATCCCTGTGATATACTGGTTTCCTTTTCTTTGGATAATAAATATCCATAGTGGAATTGACAGATTGTATGGTAGTTCTATTTTCAGTTTTTCGAGAAAAACTGAATACTATTTTCTGCAGTAGCTGCACTAATTTACATTCCCACCAACTGTGTATTTTCCTTTGGGGCTGGGCACAGTGGCTTGTGCCTTTAATCCCAGCACTTTTGGGAGGCTGAGGGAGGATCACTTGAGGCCATGAGTTCAAGGTTACAGTGAGCTATGTATGATTGCACTACTGTACTTCTGAGCAAGACCCTGTCTCTTAAAAATATATAAATATAAATAAAAAATTCTTAAAAAGTTCCCTTTCTCCACATCTATGCCAGCATTTGTTATTTTGGGGCTTTTTGATAATAGTCATTCTAATTGGGGTGAGATGATACCTCATTGTGGTTTTGATTTGCATTTCCCTGATGATTCGTGATGTTGAGCATTTTCTCAAATACTTATTGACCATTTTAATGTGATTCCTAATTGACAAATTCCCTAATTTGAGTTTCCACTTCTAATTTAGGACTGACCAGAGAATGTAGAATACGCTCCCCCAACCAATCACATAGGTTGCCTGCTTCTAGCCAGCCACCTCCAGCTTCCCTCTCCCAGTAGCCTCCAATCAGGGCACACCTGAAGCCTTCCACTGAAGGATGTTTCCAATGAAGCTCTCCTAGTCCTCTGCCAGTTTTTTAGCCTCTGCTAAAACACAAGTGATGATGGCTGACTCCCTTGCTGTAGCAAGCTCTGAATAATAACAGCCTTTGTTTGTTCTCATTCGGTGGGTCTCCATTTATTTCCACATTGCCATTCACACCCACTGGCTTTGGCCAGCAGCTTCAAGCTGTCACCTCCAGGCTGTGCCGCTTTAGTTATTTTATGAGCATGCAGGTGAGAATGAACAGTAAAAATCTAAATTTATTTGAAAGGAATGAGGTAGGACAAGATGATTGATTTTGGATAATTTTCTAGAAATGTGTGAGAAGATAAAAGTAGCTTTTTTTAATCTTTGAAAAAAGTTTTTATTGTGAAGCACAGTAGCAAAGATAGACGTAGAGATAGATATATTTTCCTCTGATCTGAAGGATAAGGTGAAGGAGGGAAAGATCACATCGAGGGGAAAGAGTTTTACCCCAATTAGACAATAAGTGAATAAGAAAGTAGTAAGAAAAAGAAAGTTGGTAACTAACCACACTAACCACAGCAGCAAAATTTCTCTTTGAAAATTGGCCACAGGTCAGCTGACTTGTGTATGCGTTTACAGACTGCCCTCCCACCCCGCCCAGACACACACAGATTTCATTTTAACATCCAGCAATATGCCCCTTACTTTTCTTCTTCCTTATCCAGAGTCAATCCCATTATCCTTCATAATTGCATCTAAAATTATTATATGCAATGAGATATTAATATTAGCAAACACACTATTAATCTTTAGAATATTCCAAATATGGCAAAGGAGACAAAGACTGACTGATACGGGTTGGCTCTGTGTCCCCACCCAAATCTCATGTGGAATTATAATCCCTATTGCTGGAGGTGGGGCCTGGTGGGAGATGACTGGCTCGTGGGGATGGTTTCTAATGGTTTAGCACGATCCCCTAGTGTTGTCTTGTGACAGTTCTCACAAGATCTGGTTGTTTGAAAATGTGCAGCATTTCCCCCTTCTCTCTCTCTCTCTGCCTTTTGCTCCTGCCGTGTAAGATATGCCTGCTTCCCGTTTGCCTTCCGCTGTGATTGTAAGTCTCCTGAGACCTCCCCAGCCATGCTTCCTGTGCAGCCTGTGGAACTGTGAGCCGAGGAAACCTCTTTTCTTTATAAATTACCCAGTTCCAGGTATTTCTTTATAGCAGTGGCAGAACTGACAAATACTGACCAAAATAATCTAAATCAACACTCTATTCTTATACCCTTCGTAAAGTAGTAGTTGTATTCATATGGCACGAACACCAAAATTCTAGGGAGAGCCAGGAGGAAACTTGGAAGAAGCTTGCTGTAATACTGAGTTTCGAGAGGGGCCATATGGTCTTTCTCAACTAACTCCCACCAAACACTACTCTCCTGCCCACCCCAGCCCACCAGCCTCAGCAATCTTTCACTCAGTTCCATCTCTGTCATTTACAATTCAAACAGCATTCTTTTAACAATTCTTGTTTTGATGTCCAGAAAATTAAGAATTCAGTGGTTACATCCTAGGGCATCTGTCTGAGGTGAGATAAGTAGGAAATATGTTTGACATTGAAGTTCCTTTGACATTGGAGTGGAACCAGCAAATGTTATCCAAAGACCCTCATTAAATGTCTCTTCATTTGTCTCTGTACCTGGTTAGTCTCATTCTCCTCATGTGACCCAGTTCTGGGCACAGGTTAGAACACTAATTAGGCAGCATGCAATCTCAGTTATTAATCAATTCACTTCATGATCATCTCCTGATACCTGCCGTATGTCAATCATTCTGTAAGGTACAAAGATTTTAGATAAAGAATTCTATAGGACGATGCATCTATCCCTGAAATCTGCTTTCCACCTCTTTCTTTTAAAACACTGCCTTGTTTTCTTTGAAATACTGATCAAAACATACTTCCATGAAGCTCTCCCAAACAAATCCCAGTCAGCCCTTATTAAAGGGTCTTTCGAGTATCTCTGCTGCACTCAAACTGACATATAGAACTTCTCATATTCTGGCAATTTCTTATCTCCACTCTGGCCTAGTGACTGTACCCATTATTTTCAACTCCTGTGTGGCATTATTAATTCCACTTCTCAAGTAACACTATTTATGATGCCTCCACTCTGTTAAAAGTAGAAAGGAAGGAGTTTTGGGGGAGTACATCTCTCAACCAAAACACTTCATCACATCCTTCATCTGTAGCAAAGGTGTGAAACAGAAAGCAAGCTGAGAGCCAAGAAGTGTAGCAGTGCTTGGGCAGATTTCTTTCATCGGTGGGAGGGAAAAGTTGTTTCTCATCAGCTAAACAGAGCAAGAGAGTTTTAAGCAGTCCATAGGCAAGAAAAGCTTGTGAGCATTTTTACCAGCCCTCACCTAGCCTTTCAAAGTGCAGTTGAACTCAGCATGATTGGGACAGAAATGCTGACTGTGTGTAGCCTCCAATCCCTTCAGAGGAAACCACTTTTTCATGCCTCACACACTAGGTCTTGTTTTCCCTGAATAGGGTGAGAGCTGGAGATACAGGCTTGGAGAAGATGAGAAAGGTTGAATTGATCTACATAAGAGAGGTCATCAAGACAGATACCTGGAGCAATAACAACAACAGCAACCACGACAACAATTTGAAAGGCAGGGAGAGACTTAGAGAAGGTTGGCCAAAGTAAGAGAGAGTAGAAAACGGTGACTTGGCTTGGGAATGTTTGGAGGCAGAGGGCAGGAGGAGTTGGGGACAGCCGCTATACAATATTTTGCAGGGAGAGAGATATCTAAGCAGGCTTTCCAGAAGTGTCTCTTTATGTTATAAGAAGTAAGTTCCACCTCACCTACACTCCACAGCTCCCAGGACACTTCCATAAAAAACATGCATTGTTTTTCAGTGCTTTTCTTATATTGGATTTTGTTTCCTCAGATGCTGTGCCATGCTGTGCTCCTACCTTCGAGGCAGGGGGAAAGATCCTGTTTGTTTTTGTGTGGACTGTCAACCAGGAATTGGAACCTAAGTACCCAACCATACCTTTGTTTAAATCGTCAACATAGAACTGGGTCAAGAGAGCAATTTCACCATAACTGCTGGACCTACAGTGTGGAAGAGCTTAGGCAGTAACAAGCACAATTTGGGATGTCCCTTGGAGTCCACCTCAAAGTAGAAGGGAAAGCGAGGAAACTACTCTGAATTCAGAATGGCATGTTTGGGAGAATGCACGGTGAGTGCCTCCATGTATGTTATGAGAAGCAAATATTTCTTTGCTTGGACGTGTAACTTATCACTCTAAGATTAGGAAAGTCTATGAAAATTCTTCACAAGAATGCAGGCTGGAAATTAGTATTTGTCCAGAATTCTGGGGGAGTGGATGATTCTGTAGAATTTGGATTCATCATAGGAAGGGAATAGGTGTTTGATTGCCTTGGGATCCATTGCCCAGTATCCTGGCTGAGACCACTACTGAGTTGCCATGAGGGCATGGACTCGAGTAGGTTTAGAACCCCTGTGTTGGAGCAAGATTTGGAAGATTAGCCATAGCTGCATCAGGTCACTGCAGGAGCAATTTATAGCTGGGAGTTACATTAAACACTTATTCTTCTCCAAAAAGTGTATGAATTCTGAACACTTGCAAAGCTAATTTAAACAAAGATGATAATGGCTGTATTCAGAAAAGAAGAGCAAATAACAGCACTGGGAACAAAATTGCTAGAGTAGACCTGGGGGGAAGGTGTCATATGTGTGACACAGCATGCTGAAGGCAAACTTTTGACAGACAAAGACTTAACAAATGGTAAAAAGTGTGTCTCCCACGGTGGCTCATGCCTGTAATACCAGCATTTTGGGAGGCCAAGGTGGGCAGATAACCTGATACCAGGAGTTTGAGACCAGCCTGACCAACATGATGAAACCCATTCTCTACTAAAAATATGAAAATTAGCTGGGCGTGGTGGGGGGGGGGCCTGTAGTCCCAGCTACTTGGGAGGCTGAGGCAGAAGAATCACTTGAACCCAGGAGGCAGGGGTTGCAGTGAGCTGAGATCACACCATTGCACTCCAGCCTGAGCAACAGAGTAAAACTCTGTCTCAAAAAAAATAAAGGTATCTCTCCCAGACCAAATCAGTGCCTTCCACCCATGAGCCATCTGGTTTGGATCATACACTTTGCCTCTAATTTACTTCCAGGTAATAAGGGTAATAATAAATACCTGGTCACTAAGCCCCTGTTGCTTCCCGTTCTAGAACTTCAGGGAACATATTCAGTAAGAAACCCAGCACTGCTCATGACTTGGGACAATGGATATATCCTTGTGCAGTCTGGCATGATTGTGGTGACAAGAAACACCTGGTGGCAGATTGTCTTCAAGAGGAAAGAACTCTGTGAAAATCCATCTTTCTCCTCTAGCACATGGCTTAGACTCTGGGACCAGGGGAATTACCTGCACAGCATGTCCTGGAACCTTCCACAGCGTGCCCTTCCCAGGACAGCCATCCAAGGCTGATGTGTTAACTTATTGAAATTTGTATTTATTAAATGTGAAAATTGTTTGAATATCTTGGATTGGGATGAAATGCACATATTTTTGTCCTTAAAATTTAGTACTTAAAAAAATTAACAGCTTTCTACTTGCTGGTGGGGTTTTTGAGAAGAAAACAATCAATGATTTTAAGAGAGCGATACTTTTACCAAGGTTTTTCTCCAAATAGAAATGTGGTACCTTTAGTTTCCTGATGCCAAAAGCACATGAGGCTGTTGAGAGAGCCACTTCTGTCCTGGGTGCAACCTACCCCAGCCCCAGCCATGGACTTGTTAGAAACTTGAGAAAGATGACGCTTCTCTGAGGATTAGATCTTAGGAACAGATAGAGATGTCTAAAGTGTATTTCCTGAAAGTCTTGCTGGGTGATGTACAACATAAACACTCTCTTCACTCCTCATGAAAGAATCTTAGAAAAAGATGAGTTCTTGATGATCTTTAGAAGGTCTATTTTGTATTTCGTCTGGATGCTACACAATGGGGAGACTGGCATCAAGGCTGGACCCAGAAGGCCCAGTTTCATGCCGTTAGGATATCTAAGCATATCAAATCCATACATTCATATGTAAAGACATAGTAAGCTTTGTGGTTGCGACAGCGGTCCTCGTGGAGACTAGACTGTAATTCAGACATGGACAAGGCAAAATCAATCTTTTTTTTTTCTTTTTTGCAGTAGAAGTCTTATCAAGGTAGATCGTACATGAGTTCCTACTGGCAGGTGAGAGAGGTGAGATCTGGAGAGGGGACTTCTCTCTCTCCTGTTTGGACTAACCCTACTCCCTGAACTATTTCATGAGCCCTGTAGAGAGCAAGCAATAGGCAAAGTCAAGGAGTCTTCACAGGAGCTTGGTGAAACCAGAAACAAAAGCAAGATTGTTCATGCAGGATGGAGGAAGACTCTCTCCTCTTGGCCGCAGCTCTGAGTGTGATACTGCTTTGACATTGTGAGGGTTTGCACTGGGTGACCTCAAAGGACCAGCAAAGGGCTGGTGCAAGTCTATCAGCACTGCCTGCATGACCAGCCACCATTGGTGTACATCATGGACTGCACCTGTGTGTACACCAACATGGGGCCTGAGGGAAGACATGCATTTAGAGACCTCAAGCAATTCCTTTTGAGTTGAGGGACTTTGAGAAGAGGTGAGGTGTGTCTATGGTACGTGGGTAGGGCCTGGAGGTAGTAACATTAAAAAAAAAATGTACGCATAGGCTGGGAAGTCCTAAGGAGACTATGATCACTCAGGCTTAAAAGTTATGACTTGTCCGTTTAAATAAATAATACAATCTGTTCTACCTACATAAAGAAGGTGCTACTGATCTGACATTAGGAGAATATTTATTTGGCATTTTTTGTCATTGCTGTTGTTTTTGGGTTTTGTGGTTATTATCATTGTCCGTTCACTTTTGCCATTGCTTAGCCATGATGACAGATTCTCAGAGAAATGTCCACAATCCCTTAGGAATGATAATGTGCATATTGGCTACTTCACTAAGATCCAAAATGGGGCTAGGATTAGAGGCACAGTCTGTAACTGAGGATAAGAGAAAAGTGAATTGGTCAACATGAAGATGAAATCCAACTTGTATTATTATTTTATTCATGAATTTAACAGACTTTTAGTGAGGTTCTACTTGTCCCAAGCTGGTAGGGCTATCAAGGTGAAAAATACACTGCCTTTGTCTTTGAAAGCAAGGAACTTGAGCACAAATAATTTCAATGCAATGTTAAATGTGCTAGAATATAACTGCATTTGAGAAAATAGGTACATAAAATTCTTTGCCGGAGTATCTGGCAAGATTTCACAAAGAAGGGGACAGTAGAACTGTATTTTGAAGAATAGATGTAAGATTTCCTTAAGGAGAAAGAAAAGAGAAACATCTTGTACTACCTACCAATGCTCTTAATGGGAGATAGGCTTCCTTTCCAGAGCTGTAATCCTCTTTAAATAAGATAATCACCATTTGGCTTTAAAACTCAATAGATTGTGTTAGTCAATCAAGAATTTGTCTATATGTGCTTAGCATCCTACTAGGTGCTTCAGGGAATACTCTGGAAGCCTGGACAAGGTTCTCATTGAAGAACTGTACTGCTCATGTCTTTTGCATATGAAATAATTAAAAAATAAAATAGCATACTTTAAGCCTCAAAATCAGAATAGAAATATGTATGGTTGTCTTTGTCGAAATAGCTCAGTTGGGAGAGCGTTAGACTGAAGAAATATGTATGGTAGAATTTTGGAGAAAGAATCAAATAGCTGTAATTTACAAGTTATTTTTATTTGATCCTTTGTAAACATTTGATTTTTCCCCATGTTTTCCCTACTATTCATTATCTTTTCATTATAATATTTAGAAGAACAAGATTTTTCTTGATATTTCTATTTGTATTAGTGGGTGAATAGTACAGCTTTTGCACAGAATGTGTACTTCCTAAGTGTCGCTAATGAACCTCACTTCAACATTTTAGATATCAAATTCCTCCAAATGCACATCTCTATGGTGACGAAGAAGATTCTCAATCTATTATCTTCAGTTCTAAGGGAAGGGAAGGCAAGGGCAATAACAAAAAGACAAAAAAAACTGAGTCTCATTTCTTGAAAGAGACTTCATAAAAAGAATCTCAAGTCTTCATTAGCAAAGCTGCAAGATCAAATCATTTTAGGAATGATCTTTAGTAAAGGATCTTCTTTGGCAGAGGAAAAAAGGAAGTTAGTTAAGTTTATTAATAAGGGTTGAAAACTGCCTGCAGATAGTTAAAAAGACCACACAAACATGTAAACAGTAAGGTGAAAATTCATCACTTTTTTGGGAATGAAGAAATGAACTTGAACAAGGACAGGATTGTCTATTAGCATGCTCTAATCATACTCCCTGGACTAAATGCATAAGTCCCTGTTAGCAGAAGGAATGATAACATTCATACTTCTTACCTTAGCTAAATGAGCAGGTTCAGAAGCATCATCCCAGAAATGAAATCCTTTTCTTGGACACCTGGGAAGCAGAATTTGCAGTGATGATCAGAAAACACATGTGGTGGCAGGTACACAGGGATTACTCCATGACAAATCACAGGAATTTCTGCTGGCTTACTCTACTCATTTTTTTGGAAAGGCCATTAGAATCTGTAAAAACTGGCAGCTGCAACACGGTTTCAGTGAGAAGGATTGTGCCTGTGTCTGCAGAAAACATTGAAAAAGAAAGAAAATTAAGCATTCAAGGATTCTAGGATATGTGTAATTCATATATGTGAATAAGTACAAAATCTTCAAAAACTACTTTTTTTTTTTTAGCAGTTTTAGGTTTCCAGAAAAATTCAGTGGAAAGTACAGAGTTCTCATACGCTGCCTCTGCCCACCCTGTAATTTCCCCCTATTATTAATATCTTGCATGGGTGTAGAACATTTGTTACAATTAATAAACATGTATATATATATATATATATATATATATGCCCATGCAATGCAAAAATATGTGTATATATACACATACACATACATATATATACACATATATATACACACACACACACACATATATATACACACACATATGTGTGCGATGTTGGCTCACTGCAACCTCTGTCTCCCAGGAATGAACCAATATTAATACATTAATATTACTTAACTAAAGTTCATAGTTTACATTAGGGTTCACTGTGTTGTATAGTTTATGGATTTTGACAAATATATAATGACATGTATCCACCATTATATAATATCATACAGAATAATTTCACTGCCCTGAAATCCTCTGTGCTCTACATATTCATCCCTTTCTCCCCCTACTTCAACCCTAGCAACCGCTAATCTTTTTATTACCTCCCTACTTTTGCTTTTTCCAGAATGTTGTATAGTTGGAATCATACAAGCCTTTTCAGATGGGCTTCTTTTACTTAGCATTTTGCATTTTAGATGTCTCCGTGTCTTTTCATGGCTTGATAATTCATTTCTTTTTTAGCACAAAATCATGTGTACTCTATTGTCTGGATGTATCACTTTATTTATACATCCACATACTGAAGAACATCTTGGTTACTTTCACATTTTGGTAATTATGAATAAAGCTGCTATAAACATTTATGTGCATGATTTTGTGTGGACATAAGTTTTCAGCTAATTTGGGTAAATACCAAAGAGCATGATTGCTGGATCATATGGTAAGGGTATGTTTAGTTTTGTAAGATATGTCCAAACTCTCTTCCAAAGCGGCCTTTACTTTCCTACCAGCAAAGAATAGAGAATTCCTATTGTTTCACATCTTCATCAGCATTTGACGTTGTCAGTGTTTTGGATTTTGGCCATTCTGGTAAGTGTGTAGTATTATTTTATTCTTGTTTTAATTTGCAATTCAGTAATGAAATAACATGTTGAGTACCTTTTCTGGTAAGTGTGTAGTATTCTTTTATTGTTGTTTTAATTTGTAATTCAGTAATGACATAAGATGTTGAATATCTTTTCATATACTTATTTGCCATCTATATATCTTCTTTGGTGAGGTGACTGTTCAGATATTTTACCTGTTTTTTAAATTGGATTGTTTCTTTCCTTATTGTTGAGTGTTAAAAGTCCTTTGCATATTTTAGAGAGATGTCCTTTATCAGATATGTGTTTTGCAAATATTCTCTCTCAGTCTATCGTGTGTCTTTTCATATTCTTAACAATGTCTTTCACAGTGCAGAAGTTTTAAATTTTAATAATTTCCAACTTACTGTTTCTTTCATGGATTTTGTCTTTGGTGTTCTAAGAAGTTGTTGCCAAACCCAAGGACACCTATTTTCTCCTATTTTATCTTCTAGGAGATTTTTGGGTTTGGATTTTACATTTATTTCAGTTAATTTTTGTGAAAGGTATAAGGTCTGTGTCTTGATGATTTTTTTTTTTTGGTTTTGCATGTGAAAGTCCAATTATTCCAGCACCATTTGTTGAAATGACTAATTTTTTCCATTGAATTTCCTATGCTCCTCTGTCAAAGATAAGTTAGATATTTTTGCATGGGCCTATTTCTGGGCTCACTATCGGGCTCCATTGATCTGTCTGTGCATTCTTTTGCTAACATGTATGGTCTTGATGATCACAGCTTTACAGTAAGCCTGGAAATTTAGTAATGTCAGTCTTCCAACTTTGATTGTCTCCTCCAATATTGTGTTGTCTATTCTGAATCTTTTGCCTTTCCATATAAACTTCAAAATCATTTTATTCATATCCACAAACGAATTTTCTGAGATTTTGATTGGGATTGCATTAAATCTATAGATCAAGTTGGGAAAAAGTGACATTTTGGCAATATTGAGTCTTCTTTTCTGTGTACATGGAATAGCTCTCCATTTATTTAGCTCTTCTTTGATTTCATTCATCAGAGATTTATAGTTTTTCACATATAGGTCTAGTACCTATTTTGTTAGATTTATACTTAAATGTTTAATTTCTTATTGCTGATGTAAGTGGCATTACATTTTTAATTTTAAACTCCAGTTGTTCATTGTTGGTATATAAGAAAGAACTGTCCTTTGTGTAATAATGTCATATGCTTAAATTTTTCTATAATCTCTTATTAGTTCTAGGAGACTTCTGGTTGATTTTTGAGGGTTTTTTTTTTTTTTTTTACATAATATGTCATCTGCAAACAAAGATAGTTTTATTTGCTCCTGCCCAATCAGTATACCTTTTCCTTTTCTTGTCTTATTGCATTAGCTAGTACTTCCAGTACAATGTTAAAAAGGGATGATGAGAGGGCACATTCTTGCCTTGTTTTCCATCTTAGAGGGAAAGTTTGGAGTTTTGTTTTGTTTTGTTTTTGTTTTGAGACAGAGTCTCACTTTGTCACCCAGGCTGGAGTGCAGTGGCACCATCTCGGCTCACTGCAACCTCTGCCTCTGGGTTCAAGAGATTCTCCCACCTCAGCCTCCCGAGTAGCTGGGATTACAGGTGCCTGCCACTGCGCCCAGCTAATTTTTGTATTTTTAGTAGAAACAGGGTTTCATCATCTTAGGCAGGCTTGTCTTGAACTCCTGACCTCGTGATCCACCCTCCTCAGCCTCCCAAAGTGCTGGGATTACAGGCATGAGCCACTGCACCCAGATGAAAGCTTGGAGTTTTTCACCGTTAAATATGATGTTAGCTATAGGGTATTTTTTTGCAGATATTCTTTATCAAATTGAGGAAGTTTTCCCCTACTGTTAGTTTACTGGGAAGTTTTTAAAATCATGAATGGGTGTTGATGTTGTCTAATGCTTTTTCTGTATCTATTAATATGATCATATAATTTTTCTTCTTTAATCTGTTGATGTGATTGATAACATTAATTGCTATTCAAATATTGATCCAGCCTTGTATTTCTGCAATAAATCCTACTGGTTATGATGTATAATTTTGAAAAACAAATTATTGGATTTGATTTGCTAATATTTTGTTGAGGATTTTGAATCTATTTTCATGAGATATATTGGTCTTTAGTTTCTCTTTCTTGTAATGTTTTTATTTGGTTTTGGTATTAGGGTAAGCCTGGCCTCATAGAATAAGTTAAAGTTTTCCTCTGCTTCTATTTTCAGGAAGAGAATATGGAGAGTTGGTTTTAATTTTTCCTTAAACGTGGAATTTGTTAGTGAACCCATCCAGGCCTGGTGTTTTCTGTTTTGAAATATAATTGATCATTGATTTAATTTCTTCAATAGATATGGCCCTCTTCAGATTATCTATTTATCCTTGTGTGCGTTTTGGTAGATTCTGCCTTTCAAGTCTTTCAAGTAATTAGCCCACTTCATCTAAATTAAAATTGGACATAGATTTCCTTAATAATATTCCTTTATTATCCTTTTCATGTCCATGGAATCAGTAGCTACTGCCTCTTTCATTTCTGATATCAGTAATTTGTGTCTTCTCACTTTTTTCTTACCTGACTAAAACTTTATCAATTTTATTGGATGTTTTCCAAAAGCCAGCTTCTAGTTTTGTTGATTTTTCTTTATTGATTTCTTGTTTTCAATCTAAATCCCTTTTCAAATTGCCTTTAATTCTTACCTTCAACGAAAGAGATGAAAAGACAATTTATTTACTTCAATGAAACAACTGTCACTTCTTATCTGAATCCCATTGAATCTACAGGTATTTTAAGGCACTATTGACAGTCTGAGGAGTGGAGCAGTCGTGTCAGGAGTGAAAGGTCTTTCCCCTGGGAGCAGGAAGCACTTCAGCTCAGCTCAGGTGTTCATGGCTCCCCTTCTCCTCCTCTCCCACTGGGTAAATGTGATGACCAAGCAATGTTTAAAATAAGCTAGTGACTGGACACACACAAGAGAAACTTAGTGGAGTCCTCATCATTCACAGCCCAAGACTGGGCCATCAGACCTGAGAAGTGGGACGGATCTGCCAAAGTGCCCAGATTTCACTTTTCCAGAATCACGCGGAAGATCCCAGAAAGAAGAACAGCTGTTCTACTGAGATGTCAGGAAAGCCACTATGAGACCAGATACTGATTTAGTTAGCAAGTGTGCTGAGGGTGCTGGAGGAAGGGGTGCATCTCAAACAAAGCCAAGCAGTTCTCATTATCAATCCTAGCACTATGTTCCAGCTTTCCTACTGAAATCAGAAAACAAGTCTGTGAGCATCTTTGTGAGAGAAATACTCTCTAGGAGAAGACAAGAAACTCTGGTAGAATGTGAACTCCCATAAAATAGAGTATAGCCAGAACACAGAAATCTTAAGGAACTCTGCTGGAAAATAATTTAGCAAAGTGGCAGGAAGTCCTTGCGCCCTTAGGAAATATTTTATAATAATGGTATTGGTGTCTGGAGAAATAAGGGCTGCTCTATCTATGTTACCAACTGAAATGAAATGAGTCTGGCCCCTTCCCAGGTTTTTGGTGATGCCAGTGATTGTGAGACCAGAAATTCTGTGGTAGACAATTCATTCATTATGGCAGCTTCGTCACTGATGTGGACTCTCATATATGAGGAATGGGGCATGAGATGAATCCTGGAGAGGGTCTGTCAGACCAGTCAGCCTGTCATCCCTCTTGTCTCTAATGCTGGGAGGCCGTTTACCCACTACTGCTCTAATTCTGAACTTCTGTGAACAAACATTATCACAAATTGCTTCAATAGATGTTTGACCCCCCTGTTCCCCTCCAGGTGAAAATTATAGAACTTTTAAGCAAAAAACCTCTGTGCTCAAAATAATTGTTGCTATCTTAACTCATTTCATTGGAACATTTCCAAAAGACTGGAACCATTTCAGTTCATCTTACTTTTTTTTTTTCTCTCAGAGAAATAAAGAGGATCATGAATAAAGATTAAATTCTCTTTTCTCTCAGTTCCCTTAGGAGCTCACATGAGATCAAACCCTAGCCAGGAACATGATTATTTATCGTGAGACACTCTCCCTCAAAAGGAGAAAAGTGTTTGTTTTCTCAGACATTATCTATAACGAGTCAGTACTTTCATAGATTAAAATACTCTTCCAGATACGCTGTACAAGTTTTTAAAAATTATAATTGTTTTCTGAGCAATCATAAATTGTTTTTTCTATTTTACAAATGAAGAATTAAAGATGCTTGGGGAAAAACAGTAATTCCACATCAAAGACGAGAAGAGGTTTTAAGACGTGTTCATCGTCACTTGAGGGAAAGGAGTCAAATAAGTATCATTTGTTTGTTAGCTCTTGTGTGTGTGTGTTGGGGGGGATAGCTCTTTTGTTTCCAATATCTAATTATTAAATTGAACTGAGTCTGAAAAGATAAGAACCAGCTAGGAGTTGTGGGAATTTGAATTGCAGACCAATTTTAATGGACATTTTATTACTTCCATGTATTTACAATAACAGGAGCTTTCGAGTTATCTAGGTTGCTGAGCCTGTTTTCATGAAGGTGTTGTTAGCACGCTCTTGTTTTGACGGGAATATGAGTCACTGATGTTCTTTAAAATATGTTCTCAAGTAAAATGTTCCCATCACAATCTTGCTTACATCTGTAGAGTCACATGGTTAAAAAGGCAAACCTCTGTAAATCTGGCTGAATTATCCTACAATTCCAGAGAATTGGGTTCTGTAGTAATGAAGCTTTAGAACGATTTGCAAAAATCGGTGGACTGACAGCCTGGTCGCAGTCCCGGTCATGAAGCAAGCAGATCCCCACCTCCCCTTCTCCCTCAAGCTGTCCTCTGGTCTCCTGTGGACAGGGCAGACCACAGAGAACACAAGGTCTGCTCCCAGGAAATCAAGACAGAGCCCTCTTTAAGTGAAAAAAGGTGGAAGGAGACTGCTGGGAGACTTGGCTCACTTTTTAAGCTCGTTGGGCAACCACCTGATTCATCCAGGCTGTGCACCATGTATATTTCCACAATTTTGTATGACATATTGGAAATGCAGAGCTCCAATGCATGAATCTACCTTTCTATTCCATGGGGCTTCACAAACAAGGCTGTAGAATTTCTTTCAGAGCTTTCAGGCTGACATAGTTCCCAGTAAGTCATTTCCCATTCCATCCCTTCATGTCTCAGACCACTCTCATTCTCATTGCGTGTCACCAGCTCTGTGGGAACTGTTTCCCTCCTATCACTTGAACTCATCACTGACCCTTCTTTATAATAGTCTCTGTATTCTTTACAAATAGTAATCTTTACAAATAGTTTCTGTATTCTTTCCTCTTTTTTCCCCCTTCACTGTTCCTTGGTAATTTGTATGATAAAATGGGGAAGTTAATACTCATTCTGGGTATCTGACAAGATTGTTGCAGGGATTAAATGAGTTAATGGAAGTGTGAGAGATTCTTTGTGTTTGTCTTGTATTTATCTCACTCTGATACCTGTGAAGTCACCTTTTCCAGCAACCAAAACTAGCCTGATAGGAAAAAAACAACAACAAAAAACTATTTCCAAAAAAATAAAAGGCCTTGTATGTCTAGCTTTTGACCATTTCCCAGTATCAGTAAGTACCTCCACCATGGTTTATTTCAAGTGATTCATGTGACATGCATAAGTTGGCAGAATTCCTGAAGATACTTACCAATCAGCACTCAGGAATATGTATGGGCCAACTCTAGCTCAACACTGAATATGGCCCAGATTTCAAGGTTATCAGCACACAACAGCTTTGCTGCCCAAACCGTGTCCTGTTCCAGCTTCCTAACCTGTTGTGGGAAGACAGGGACCCTGAATGGAAGGACCAGCTGAAGCCATGGCAGAAGAACATAAATTGTGAAGATTTCATGGACATTTATTAGTTCTCCAAATTAATACTTTTGTAATTTCTTACGCCTGTCTTTATTGCAATCTCTGAACATAAACTGTGAAGATTTCATGGACATTTGTCACTTCCCCCAATCAATACTCTTGTGATTTCCTATGCCTGTCTTTACTTTAATCTCTTAATCCCATCATCTTCGTAAGCTGAGGATGTATGTTGCCTCAGGACCCTGTGATGATGGCGTTAACTGCACAAATTTTTCATAAAGCATGTGTGTTTAAACAATATGAAATCTGGGCACCTTGAAAAAAGAACAGGATAACAGTGATGTTCAGGGAACAAGGGAGATAACCATTAAGTCTGGCTGCCTGAGAGCCAGGCAGAACAGAGCCATAGTTCTCTTCTTTCAAAAGCAAATAGGAGAAATATCGCTGAATTCTTTTTCTCAGCAAGGAACAGCCCTGAGAAAGAGAATGCGTTCCTAGGGATAGGCCTCTGAAATGGCCACTCTGGGAATGTCTGTCTTTTACAGTTGCAGATAAGGGAAGAAATAAGCCCTGGTCTCCCGTAGCGCTCCCAGGCTTATTAGGACAAGGAAATTCCCGCCTAATAAATTTTGGTCAGACCAGTTGTCTGCTCTCAAACCCTGTCTCCTGATAAGATGTTATCAATGACAATGCATGCCCAGTGGGACATGAAACTTCATTAGTATTTTTAATTTTGCCCCGGTCCTGCGATCTTGCCCTGCCTCAATTTGCCTTGTAATATTTTATTACCTTGTGAAGCATGTGATCTCTGTGACCCACACCCTATTCGGACACTCCCTCCCTTTGAAAATCACTAATAAAAACTTGCTGTTTTTGCGGCTTGGGGGGCATCATGGAACCTGCTGACATGTGATGTCTCCCCCAGATACCCAACTTTAAAATTTCTGCCTTTTGTACTCTTTCCCTTTATTTCTCAGACCGGCCAACTCTTAGGGAAATAGAAAAGAACCTGCGTGAAATAACGTTAAATTATTGGGGCAGGTTCCCCTGATACTAACCCCAGACCAATTCTGCTACCTCCTCTGGTAATGAACTTCATGAGGGGCTGCCCCTCTGGACACAGCTGTCCCCTACCTACACCCCTGCTGTGTCCATTCTGGCCTGGATGGGGGAGTCAGGAGGAGGTGGTTTCCTCAGCATGTGCTGGCTCACAAGGACACATTGTTAAGTAATGAGGAATTCTGAAGCCAGATGTTAAACCATTGGTAGCTTGAAATAGGCTGTAGTGGGAGTATTTACACCACAGAAATTGGCAAGTGCTGGAGATTGGGAGAGCCAGGTTAGCAGCAAATCACAAGACTAAGATTTTCTCTTTCATCTACTGCAGCTGCCTGAGACCTGGATTTAATCTCTAACAAAAATTGATGGAAGGGAAGTTCATGATACAAAGACAAGTCTGTACTTGCGACAAAGACTCTCAATCTCAGAGTTCCCCCTGGACTGTCTCTTTGTTCTACTTTCTCTTCATAATGCTGAGAAGCAGCCCACTCTTTCATTGCTAGAAAGCATGCTGGTATATCCATGATGAGTCCTTTGTAGCAGTGACTCTATCTGCCGTAGAAAAAGGACATTTTTCCTGTCCTTTAGTCTCAGACCAGCCTCTAGAGTCATTTTCCGGCACAAGAGTGATCTCTTTCCAGAATGATTAATAGCATAAAATCATTCCCTCCAAGAAACTTGAACCTACACCCAGGGGCTCTGGAATGGCTTTGTGGTTCCAACAAAACAATCATGCAATAACCAAGCCTTGGAACATACCCCCAAACCAGAAACAGCCTTAGAGGCCCCACTCTGGGTTCAGATTGGCTTCACCTTGTTTAGACCAATTATTTTTCAGTCTTTTTTTATTAAATATTTTTAAAAGTCTCAGTCTCATCTTAGTGTCACCAGGTTACACAGACCTGTTCAACACTCTTTTAGCCCATGGCTGTTATGTTTTTATGATGCAATAATGGTTAATAGAAAATGTTTTTAGCCTGAAGTATGAACTTAGTGTTGAACATCACAGAGTTCTAGGAACCCATGCACCACGGAGAGGCCCTTGGGAAGAACGAGTCTGGAACCCTAAACCAGCTTTAACTATTCATGGAGAGTTGGCCAGCTTTAGAAAACCCAGAAATTGCCCCTCTATGAAATTTTGCCTGGGTTGATAGGTGCAGCAAACCACCATAGCACACGTTTACCTAGGTAACAAACCTGAACATCCTACACATGTAGCCTGGAACTTAAAAAAAAAAAAAAAAAGTAAAGAAAAAAAAAAGAAATTTTGCCCAGCATCCAAGCCAGATTAACTCCTACTGTAGACCTTTATGCCTTTGACCCTTAAACTAAAGGCACCTCCCTGGCAAAGCTACACCTGAACACATAGCAGGCTTGCCCTTTGGGATGACTAAAGAACCTAGAAACAGTGAGGAAAAGTGAAGGGGTGTCTATATCAGGGAGAGAAGCATTTGCAAGGCCAAAAAAGCAAGGAAACCTTTTCTTTGATGCCAGCTGTGAGATGAGGTCTTGAAAGGAAGATGGCAAAGGCCATGAAGCAACCCAGGACGGGGCTGCAGTCAGATTCAGGGGATTTAAGACCCTGCCACAGGTGGGATCCCACCTCTGGGGGCAGCCACCACTGACGGTGGCCCTAGAAGAAGTATGCAGAAGAGTTATGTGGCAGGAAGGGGCCCACATTTTTCTTATGATTTTCTTCTTATGATTTTCTCTGGGCCTCCTTTAACTTCTGATTGGCTCTGGGATATGGATCAGTTTAAGTTTGCCTGGTAAAAGTAAATCCTCCAAAATCATAAACACTTATGTTGAAAGTGCCCCAGGCACATTTTCCTAAGGTAACCCTAAGTATACTCAGCCCTCGGTATCCTCAGTTTCTGCAGCCATGGATTCAAACAACCATAGGTCAAAAACATTAGAAAAAAAAAATTTTTTTTAATAACAATAAAAAATAATACAAATTAAAAATGCAATATAACAAGTATTTACATAGCATTTACATTGTATTGGTATTATGTCATATAGAGATGATTTAAAGTATACAAAAGGATGTGAGTAGGTTATATGTAAATGCCATGTCATTTTACATAAGGGACTTGAGCCTCCTCCTGGAACGAATTCCCTGTAGACACCAAGAGACGACTTCATTTTGCAAGTAGCGTCTCTCTAACATTCCTTAAGACAGAAAAGCAAGCTGGAGAAACTATGATTTCCCATTTCTCATTGTGGAAACTGTCATGTGAATGTGATTTATTGGAAGTGGTGAGAGAGTAAGGAATGCTGCCTTGCCAACCATTCATTCTACATATTTCTTTCACAACAACCACGGGCCTTGCCATGCACCATCTTGGGAAGGATGACAGAAGGGACTCATACATTTCTAAAGGCAGCAGCAGCAGCCTTTGAAGGCAGCTCATCTGGGAAGCCCAGTGTGTGGGCATCCGTGTGGATCCTCCAGCTGACAAAAGCTAATGGGCTGGTGATAGAGAACTGGAAGGCAGTGAAGCAGAACATGAAACCTGCTCAACAGACCACATCCCTGGACAGAGGCAAACATGGTGTGTCTAGGCCATTTCAACCACAGGGTTAAAAAACATGCTTTCAAGTGTCCTTATTGGTAAAGTTGCCAATCAGAGACTCAACAAAATTTTTCTCTCTTTGGCAACTAAGTCCTCACCCACACGAGAGACTGTGTGACATTAAAAAAGACACAACCTTGAGTACCAGTGTTTGGCCTCTCTGCAAGTACTGTGATGGCTCAGCTAGGAACAGAGTCCTTGTGCATAACCACTCTCACAGTAAGAAAGATCATCTATAAATTTCTGTGTAGTCAGTTCACCCCAAAATGTACAGCTGATTGTTCAAAATAGCCTGGGACCATCCCCCTCTCTCTTGCTCCCTTCTTCATCATGTGGCCCACCAGCTTCCCTGCCTTTTCTGCTACAACTTCCTGAGGTCCTCAGAAGAAGCAGAGACTGGTGCCAAGCTTCATGTACAGCCTGAAGAACAAAATAAACCTATTTTCTTTATAAATCATGAAGCCTCAGGTATTTATCTATAGCAACACAGGCTGGCCTGAGTGTCCTCACAACACCAAAGGGGGTGATTCCTGCCTTATCCTGTGAGAGGGGCAGTGGGATGCTTCAAAGCATACAAGATGGAACCATAAAGCCTATATTCAAAATCCAAGATGTCCACCAGGGTGACCTTGAGGTTAAACTCTTTCTGCTTCAGGTTCACTGTTTGTAAGGTGGAGGGCAGTAATGGTACCCAACTCATGGGCCAATTAACTTAATGAGCTAAAGCATCTCAAGCTCTGAGACCAGTGTCTGGCTGATACAAGCACTCAGTAAACACTGCTAATAGTATTACTACCAATTAGCTAATTAGCCCTGTCTTTTCATGTAGGGATTTGTGGGGTTTGTTAACTTTTATTTAAGTTCAGGGGTACATATGCAGATTTGTTATATAGGTAAATTTGTGTCCTGGGGGTTTGTTTTACAGATAATTTTGTCACCCAGGTATTAAGCCTAGTACCCATTAGTTCTTTTTCCTGATCCTCTCCCTCCTCCCACCCTCCACTCTCTGGTGAGCCCCAGTATATATTCTTTCCCTCTATGTGTCCATGTGTTCTAATCATTTAGCTCCCAGTTATAATTGAGAACAAGTGGTATTTGGTTTTCTATTCCTGCATTAGTTTGTGAAGGATAATGACCTCCAGCTTCATCCAGGTTCCTGTAAAGGATATTATCTCATTCTTTTTTATGGCTGCATAGTATTCTATGGTGTTGATGTACCACATTTTCTTTATCCAATTTATCACTGATGGGCATTTATATTGATTCTGTCTTTGCTATTGTGAATAGTGCTGCAATGAACATATGCACGCATGTGTTTTTACGACAGAATGATTTATATTTCTTTGGGTATATACCCAGTAATGGGATTGCTGGGCCAAATGGTATTTCTGTCTTTAGGCCTTTGAGGAATTGCCACACTGTCTTCCACAATGGTTGAACTAATTTACACTCCAAACAACAGTAAATAAGCATTCCTTTTTCTCTGCAACCTCACCAGCATCTGTTGTTTTATTTACTTTTTAATAATTGCCATTCTGACTGGTGTGAGATGGTATCTCATTGTGATTTTGATTTGCATTTCTCTAATGATCAGTGATGTTGAACTTTTCTTCATATGCTTGTTGGCCACATGTATGTCTTCTTTTGAAAAGTGTTCGTTCATATCCTTTGCCCACTTTTTAATGAGGTTGTTTTTTTTTCTTGTAAATTTGTTTAAGTTCCTTCTAGATGCTGGATATTAGACCTTTGTCAGATGCATAGTTTGCAAAAATTTCCTCCCATTCTGTAGGTTGTCTTTTTAATCTGCTGATAGTTTCATTTGCTGTGCAGAGGCTCTTCAGTTTAATTAGATCCCATTTGTCAAATTTTGCTTTTGTTGCAATTGCTTTTGGCATCTTCGTCATGAAATCTTTGCCCATTCCTATGCCCTGGATGGTATTGCCTAGATTGTCTTACAGGGTTTTTAAATTTTGGTTTTACATTTAAGTCTATATTTCATCTTGAGTTAATTTTTGTATATGGTGTGAGGAAGGGGTGCAGTTTCAATCTTCTACATGTGGCTAGCCAGCTATCCCAGCACCATTTATTGAATAGGGAATCCTTTCCCCATTGCTTGTTTTTGTCAGATCAAATAGTTGTAGGTGTGTGGCCTCATTTATGGATTCCCTATTCTATTCCATTGGTCAATGTATCTGTTCTTCTACCAGTACATGCTGTTTTATTTACTGTAGCCCTGTAATATAGTTTGAAGTTCACTAAGGTGATGCCTCTAGCTTTGTTCTTTTTCCTTAGTATTGCCTTGGCTATTTGGGGTCTTTTTTTTTGGTTCCATATGAATTTTAAAATAGTTTTTTCTACTTCTGTGAAGAATCTCAATGATAGTTTTATAAGAATAGCATTGAATTTATTAATTGCTTTGGGCTGTATGGCTATTTCTAAGATATTGATTCTTCCTATCTGTGAGCATGAAATGTATTTCCATTTGTTTGTGTCATCTCTGGTTTCTTTGAGCAGTGTTTTGTAGTTCTCCTAGAAATCTTTTACCTCCCTGGTTAGCTGTATTTCTAGTTATTTGTTCTTTTTGTGGCAATTGTGAATGGGATTGCATTACTTATCTGGCTCTCGGCTTGACTATTGTTGGTGTATGGGAATGTTAGTGATTTCTGCACATTGGTTTAGTATCCTGAGACTTTGCTGAAGTTGTTCATCAGCTTAAGAAGCTCTTGGGCTGAGACTATGGGGTTTTCTAGATATAGGATCATGTCATCTGCAAACAGGAATAGTTTGACTCCCTCTCTTTCCACTTAGATGTCTTTAGTTCTTTCTCTTGCCTGATTGCCCTGACCAGGACTTCCAATACTATGTTGAATAGGAGTGGTGAGTGAGGACATATTTTTTGTGCCAATTTTCAAGGGGAATTCTTCCAGCTTTTGCCCGTTCACTATGATGTTGGCTGTGGGTTTGTCATAGGTGGCTTTTATTATTTTGAGATATGTTCCTTCAGTACCTTCATGTATGGGTTTGAATATGAGAGCACTGACACCACTGATCCTAGAAAGTCTTAGAACATAACCAAGTGAGTCTAAAACTTTCTCTTGTACAAAATGACACCAGTTTGGGTTTTTATTTTTTTTTTTTGTCAAAATATTTTGTGAAATTACTGAGGTCACTGACTCTTTGTAAATAAAAGCTTTTAACAAATTTTATAACATTTCCATAGACTTAGGACTCCCTAGACTGTGCCTGGGCTCTCTCAGTCCCCGATGTCCCCAACAAAGTTTACAGAAAAAACAGAAACAACATTGGAGGTGAATGTTGGAGGGCAGGAGAAGCTGGCTGAGAACAAGATGAATAGTTAGATAAAGCAACTCTCACTGTCTTCTGTTCGGACCTAATTTTACTTCCTGCGTTAGAGAAGGGCTGAGTGTGGGAGCTCTGGAGTCACCAGGTGGGGAAAGGGGTTCTGCTCTGAGCATTTCAGGACTTACGAAGACAGGGCCTCTCATCCAGACTGCCAGTGTCCTTTTATCTGCACTGAACTGTCCCTCCCTGGCACTCTGTCTTATGTCCAGTTTCTTTTTTCTTTTCTTTTTTTCTTTCTTTTTTTTTTTTTTTTTTTTTTTTTTTTGAGACAGAGTCTCGCTCTGTCACCAGGCTGGAGTGCTGTGGCACGATCTGGGCTCACTGCAATCTCTGCCTCCCAGGTAAAAGTGATTCTCCTGCCTCAGCCTCTTGAGTAGCTGGGATTACAGGCAAGCGCCACCATGCCTAGCTAATTTTTATATTTTTGTAGAGACGGGGTTTCACCATGTTGGCCAGATGGTTTCGATCTCCTAACCTTGTGATCCACCCGCCTTGGCCTCCCAAAGTGCTGGGATTACAGGTTTGAGCCACTGCGCCTGGCCCTTACGTCCAATTTCTAAAAACTGCTTTTGTTGTTGTTATTATTGGTTGGAGTGTTTTTGTTTGTTTGTTTTTGTTTGTTTGTTTTGCTTGATTTTAAGAAATGCATTTTGGTTATCTGGTCACATATCCCAATGCATTTGACCAATTACATGACTCGAGTCCTTAGAAAGTATCTTAAAAGACTGACCCCTGCACAAGACATTTAAGGAAGGACTTAGAACATAAGGAAATGTGGCTGTTGTCAAGGCAGTGTGAGCACTGCGCAAACTCTGACAAAGGACATGCCACTCGGCCAGTCATCTGTTTCAGAAAATGGCTTGGGGAAGAGTTTATGTATTTACAAATCTCTGCTGAGTAATAAAAGGAGCAAGCGGTGCACAGTATATGGAGCTGAATAAATAACACTGAAGCGAGGAGGGCAGAGCCCATAAAGTGTGCCACCTTATGTCACGGGAGCCACTGCTGGCTTTGCTAATTTATGATTGTTCGTGAAGCATCAAGGACACATGGCTGGGCTGCCTTGGAGGCAATGTGGATTCTGCAGCATCTGGTATGTGGAGGGAGAGACACAAAACATCAAAAGCCTTATGCAGAACTTTAGTGCCAGGTTGGACAGAACACACATTTCAACATCTCCATTCACACGTGATGTGCATTCACTTTGTTTGAATGCTGAAAATTACCACTTACTTCTGCCTTGTTGCACTTAGTTCAAAAGCACGTGACATAAGCATGTTATATTATCCTCTATTCTGGATCAATGACCAACTCAGACCCAAGGGCATAAATTAGAATTTTGCATTCCCATTTATATTATGTTCAAATTGTGACCTCTATTTTTAAAAAGTGAAATAATTTTAAAAAAAATCCAAGAAAGTTGAACTCCAAATTTGACTGTTTTTACTGTTAAATGACATGGTATGGTTTTCCTACCATTGACTCTGAAATCTTAAATAACTGGCCATTTAAAGCATGTCCATCCTTACTCACTAGGATGCGGAATAGCTGTCATCCCCTATGGCATTATCTGAACATCTGTGTTATGCTCCTGCAGTGCCACTAGAGGGAGCACAAGTTAGCTAACATACCCTGTTCTCAGCACTTGGCATCTTCGAAGATGCTCACAATTTGACTGGGGAGGACATAGCATGCATCCATCTTGGCACCTGTTCTGCAAAAATACTGAGTGAACTGGAAAAGAACTAGGTCACAGGACTCGAAGGACATCACTCTCCATCGGAGTGCCCTTCATTCCTGGAAATTCCAGGGCACATCAAGAGCTGACAGCAAGATGATACAGGGCTGTATCATCCGGTTAAGGAGTTTTAGGGCAGAGCATCCAGAGACACACAGGCCTCAAGAAGGGCAATGTGTCCAATTACCCTTTCCTGGGGTGGGGGTGGGGGTATGGATTCTGATGTGGAATCCAGCAAGCACCTTTGGAGAGAAGCGTAGTAGAGAAAGGGAGGTGTGAATGTATGTGTGTGTGTAGAGCAGGACACAAACTCTCTGATTGATGCGGTTCTTTCTGATGTCTCTTGTCAGATCAGCAACCAGGAAACATCTCCTGAAGTCTAACAACCGGAAAGAGTTTTCCAGTGAGAGCAGCAGCAGGGAAGCCTTTTGTTTGTTTGTTTTTAAACAATAGGTTCCTAGGAAATACCATCTACACTAATTTGGTGAAATTGATAAGTAATTTTTTTCTCCCAGGAAGAAAATAGAATGTCCAGGTTATGTTATCACTTTCTCGTCTATTTTCTACTAAGGAGGATCCCTCTTTTTTTATACTCAAATTAGACTGCAGAGTATGTTAGAATTCCCTAAAAGGATCTTGATGGTTTAAAAAAGGAGCCCAGAAAGTCCATTTTAGGGGCAGTACCTCTTTGGGAAGGCATTTTTTCGTTTAGCCATCACTTACAAAGTGCAGACTATATGCCAGTTGGATAAGACGCTCTTCAGGGGCAGGCAGACAGATAATTCAGTGTCTGGTATGTGGGAGCCACTCAGTAAGTGTTTGTTAAATGAATGAATGAGTGAACAAATGAATGAATGTCCTGATAGAAGAAAGTACAGACTGCTGAGGAATCATGAAAGAGAGATACATAACTTTTGCTGGGGTAGGAGGCACTGTGACTCTTGGGGGAAGCTAAGGCCTGAGCTGAGTCCTGAAGGCTGACTGCAAGGTGGGGATCAGGGGAGATGGGGGTGGTCGGAAGAGGTGGGGTGGGGAATTCTCGGCAAAGGGAGCAGTGTATCCATAGTGCTGAGATGTGAGGGAAAAAGTACCTTGAGGAAATCACAGGTAACTTAGGATAATGGGGACAGAGAGTTGAGCAAAAGATTACAGAGGTCTTCAGTAGCAGAATGAACTTCTAGGTAAGTTTGACATTGGATAGCATTCATAATAGTAATAGCAAACCACAGACTCAGTACTGGAGGCTTTATGCATATTAAAGCCTCACAAACCTCACAAAATTGAGATGGAGTTTTGCTCTTGTTGCCCATGCTGGAGTGCAATGGCACGATCTCGGCTAATTGCAACCTCTGCCTCCTGGGTTGAGGCGATTCTCCTGCCTCAGCCTCCCTAGTAGCTGGGATTGTAGGCACCTGCCACCATGCCCAGATAATTTTTGTATTTTTAGTAGAGATGGGGTTTCACCATGTTGGCCAGGCTGGTCTCGAACTCCTGACCTTACGTGATCTGTTCACCTCAGCCTCCCAAAGTGCTGGGATTACAGGTGTGAGCCACTGTGCCCAGTGACTACTTTTTTAACATAGAAAATTTACTTTTCTATGTTTCACAAACAAATATGTGTTTGTGAGTGTTAGACTCACAAACAGAGAAGGTCAGTTTTCTTTCTCCTTCCTTCCTTCCTTCCTTTTTTTGAGACAGGGTCTCTCTGTGTTTCCCAGGCTGCAGTGCAGTGGCACAATCCCATCACGGCTCACTGCAACCTCAACCTCCCAGGCTCAAGTGATCCTCCCACCTCAGCCTCCTGAGCAGCAGAGATCACAGGCACACACCACCACACCCAGCTAATTTTTGTAATTTTTGTTGACACAGGGTCTTGCTGTGTTGCCCAGGCTGTTCTGGAACTCCTGTGCTCAAGCAATCCTCCTGCCTCAGCCTCCCAAAGTGCTGGGATCATAGGCATGAGCCATGTACCCAGCCAGTATTCTTATTTCTTATTATCCCAGTTTTACAAATGAAGAAACTGAGGTGCAGAGGATTTAAGAAACACGCACAAAAATCGCATGGATTTAATGTATTATTGCTAGATACTTAAAGATGTGTCAAAAAAGGACAACAACTTAGCAGAAGTGTGTAATAAAGAGGCATTCCTACAGTCTTTCATAAGCTATTTCTTGGAGTAACTTTCAAAAATTGAAATGAATCAACCACTGGTTTGACAGACTCTGGCTTTATTGGTATTTAATTGGAGAAAAGTTATATGAGTCATTCTGTCTAAACAAAGAAGACCTCCACATCTTAGTCTAAATCATTCTCTAGAACTTGAATCTTGTATGGGGAAGTATAATATTACATATGACTTAAATTACTCAATTATGAGTACTAATAGCCAATTCAAAGATAACATAATGAAATAAATCTTCAAAGTTGAAAGAGAAGAGTTGGGAAAAGAAAACTAATCAATATTTGAACCCAGGGCAACTGCTTAACTCTTAGGGAAAGTATATACATTTGTATAATATAAAACTATACCCCTACCTCATACAGTTTAAAAAATTGAATTTCTAGATGGGCCAATATTTAACCATTAAATAATGAAACTATAAGAAAGCATAAATATACACATTTGTGTAATCTTACAATAAAGGAAGCATGAACATAAAGATCAATAAAGTTAATGAAAAGTTAAGTAAATTTTCTATGTTAAAAAAGTAGTCACTGGGCACAGTGGCTCACACCTGTAATCCCAGCACTTTGGGAGGCTGAGGTGAACAGATCACGTAAGGTCAGGAGTTCGAGACCAGCCTGGCCAACATGGTGAAACCCCATCTCTACTAAAAATACAAAAATTATCTGGGCATGGTGGCAGGTGCCTACAATCCCAGCTACTAGGGAGGCTGAGGCAGGAGAATCGCCTCAACCCAGGAGGCAGAGGTTGCAATTAGCTGAGATCGTGCCATTGCACTCCAGCATGGGCAACAAGAGCAAAACTCCATCTCAAAAAAAAAGTAGTCAAACTTTAAATGTATGCAAAAAAAACTGAGAAACAACATTTGCACCCTATTTGATACTTTTGTAAATTAATAAGAAAAATAAATGTCTCCCAATACAAAAAAGAAAGCAGGCAACAAAGCAAGAATAGAACATTTGTTTAAAAAACAAAAAGAGTTATATAAGTAACGAATGACCTAAAAAATGTTTGAACTGACTAGCTCACTAGTAATAAAAGAAGCTCCAATTGAAATATAATACCCAGTGAAATGGTCATCTTTTGTGTGTGTGTGTGAGAGGGTCTTGCTCTGTTGCCCAGGCTGGAGTGCAGTTGCATGATCACGGTTCACTGCAGCCTCAACCTCCTGGGCTCATGTGGTTCTCCCACCTCAGCCTCCCAAGTAGCTGGGACTGCAGGCACGTGCCAGTATGTTCAGCTAAGTTTTTATTTTTATTTTTTGTAGAAATGGAGTCTCACTATGTTGCCCAGGCTAGTCTCAAACTCCTAGGCTCAAGCCATCCTCCTGCCTCAGCATCCCAAAGTGCTGGGATTACAGGCATTAGCCACTGTGCCTGGCCTGAAATGGTCATCTTAATACATTATTGGTAAGATAGTGAATTGGTTTTAAATTTTTGAAGGAAAATTTGGAATATATAAAATATTTACACTAAAAATTTTTTTATTATGCTTTTAAGTTCTAGGGTACATGTGTACAACGTGCAGGTTTGTTACATATGTATACATGCGCCATGTTGGTGTGCTGCACCCATTAACTCGTCACTTACATTAGGTATGTCTTCTAATGCTATCCCTCCCCGCTCCCCCTACCCCACAACAGGCCTTGGTGTGTGGTGTTCCCCACCCTATGTCCAAGTGTTCTCATTACACTAAAGTATTGAAGGATTCAAACTCTGTTGTCAACATAGGTGATCTGGGTGGGAAGAATGGGGTTCACACATACGTGGATGTGGTAGGATGAAGGTGTTGAAGGGGAAAGGAGACAAATGAAAAGAAAAAAGGGCTGAACTAAAATGTGTGTGTGTGTGTGTGTGTGTGTGTGTGTGTGTGTACATAAGGGAATAGGGAAGAAGAGCGGGGAGACTTAGCTAAAAACTTTGAAAGAATAAAGTGTGATTTCTATTCCATATCAAAGACATTTTAAAAAGTTTATTGATATCTTTTCACCTAGTAATTCCATTTCAAGGAATTTATTCTAAGAAAATAACCAGAGATGCAAACAAATATTTATTCTCAAGGATATTTATTGTAGCATTATATATTCTAGTAAAAGCTAGAATCAAAGTCAATATGCAATAGGATGGCTTATAGTTACATGAAATATTACACCTGTAGGTGATAAATTATGATGTAGCCACTGAAAATCTTGATTTAAAATTATTTAAATTCATGAAGAAATGTTAACTACATGATTGTTCAAAGGTTTAAAGCTTTGTCTAGTATTATCCCAGTTTTATTTTTTTAAATTATATATTGAAATATAAGTCAAAAAACAACAGGGAAGTAAATCCAGGGCGAGCCTAGTAGCAGTTGGGTATAAGAGGCCATTTCAGGGCCGGGTGCAGTGGCTCACTCCTATAATCTCAGTACTTTGGAAGGCCGAGGTGGGCAGATCATGAGGTCAAGAGACGAAGACCATCCTGGCCAACATGGTGAAACCCCGTCTCTACTAAAAATACAAAAGTTAGCTGGGCGTGGTGGCGCACGTTTGTAGTCCCAGCTACTCAGGAGGCTGAGGCAGAAGAATCACTTGAACCCGGGAGGCGGTGCAGTGAGTCAAGATCATGCCACTGCACTCCAGCCTGGCAACAGAGTGAGACTCTGTCTCAAAAAAAAAAAAAGGGGGGCCATTTCAGAATTACTTTTAAATGTCTTCTATATAATTTTCCTTTTTCACTAAACTACAGAAGCTATGCACTCTTTTTCTGATTTGTAAAAAAAAAAAAAAAAAAAAAAAAAAAAAAAGTGAAGCATGTTTCCTGTAGTTTGCAAAGAAGAAAAAGTCTTGCCATCGAGTTTGTTCAGCTGAAAGTCACCCAGCCCTCATGTTTAGGAACTCTGGGACTAAATTGTGTTGGATTTCTCATGACAGAGAAGCGCCCTTTGTTTTTGCTTGGCATTAAACAATTCTAACTCAAATTTCATTTACAATTAAGTGGAATGTCTCATTGAGTAATGCGTTCTCATCTTCCTTGCCTTTGACTTTACTGAACTCCAGGCTGGTGCTTTGGGTCAGCGGTTCAAATTGCCATATTACTTGTACACATCATTCCAGACTTCCCTGTAAAATGGCAATGCCATTTTAAAATTTTATTTTTATGTTCTTTGGAAAGTCCTAGAACATTTTGCATAGTATAGTAGCAATTAAAAAATAAAGGCTCACATTCCCCTTGAGTAATGAATCATTCACAGACTGATGTTTCCCTTGTAAATGAGCCCATTGGCTAAGTGTAGTATATAAAATTCAACCTCTGCTTCACAAAAGTTTATTGCATCTATGTCGTAAATGGTATTTATAATTTATACTGAAGTTGTATGTGGAAAAATTTAGAATGGTTTATGATAAAATATGTGTGTATTTATATATACATGCATATACCCATTAGAACAGAATATGCACTTTTTTATGTTACTTTAAGTTCTGGGATACGTGTGCAGAACGTGCAGGTGTGTTACATAGGTATACGTGTGCCATGGTGGTTTGCTGCACCTATCAACCCGTCATCTAGGTTTTAGACCCTGCATGCATTAGGTATCTCTCCCAATGCTCTCCCTCCCCTTGCCTCCCACCCCCTAAAAAGCCCAGTGTGTGATGTTCCCCTCCCTGTGTCCATGTGTTCGTATTGTTCACCTCCCACCTATGCGTGAGAACATGCGGTATTTGGTTTTCTGTTCCTGTGTCAGCTTGCTGAGAATGATGGCTTCCAGCTTCATCCATGTCCCTGCAAAGGACATGAACTCTTCTTTTTATGGCTGCATAATATTCCATGGTGTATATGTGCCACATTTTCTTTATCCAGTCTATCATTGATGGGCATTTGGGTTGGTTCCAAGCCTTTTCTATTGTAAATAGTCTACCATAAACACACATGGGCATAGAACATGCACTTTCAATGGGGGTGATATCACTACCAGCAGGGTGAAAACCAGTTCATGGTTGGTGGGAGCATATAAAAAAATCTTAGCATATTATAATGGTTTGTGGCTCTTGGAAGCTCAACCCTATGAACAAAGTCTTATTCCTTAGTATTAAGCTTCTTTCATTATAAAGACAGGTAGCCTAATTTAAATCTAAATTAATTTATTCAGTAAACATTTAAATTTAATTTAAATTTGCTAACTTAATAAATATTTAAATTAAATTAAGCCTAATTAATTTTTCTCTTTAGCAATGCAAAAGTGAAAAAAATGGCTGAGAAACGCTGTGACAGAAGGCTAGATGACCCAGGTAGCAACAGAGTTTTGCAGTTACAATCTTCAATCAAGGGGACATTAAAATGAGAGTGGGAAAATGCAAGGTAAGTGATACAGGTGGAGGTAGAATATTATAGTCACAAGCTGGAGTTTTGTTTTATCATTGGCTCATCTATGAACATGGACCGCACCTCTTATCCACGCATAACATTCACTTACACACCTGCCTCTGTGATATTTTACCCACTGATCACATGGTAAGTATAAATACCAAGCTAGCAGGTGTACCCAAGCTCTCTTCATAGGATAATCATGGCCCTGACATACCAATGCTCTCACAATGTTGCCCCGATCTTAGTATCTCTAGGAGCATCTCTCCTGGCCTTGCCACTTTATAATGTGAACCTATGCACACCTCACTGGGTGACTTTCCAATTGTGTAACTGCCACAGAAGTAAAACTGCCCACAAAACTGTCACGCATTTCTGTCTCTGCGTGGTCTTCCCTAACCTCTATTTAGCTGCTTTGCTTCTCACCGAACTCCATTCCCTCTCTTCTCTAACTGTAACAGAAGATGTGGCGTTCCCCAAACCCAGCAGACGCCTGTGTCCCCACATTTGTTCTGTCTGCACTTTTACTTTTGTAGCACATCCTCCTCTCTCCCATCACTTCCTGATGAAATTTCACCTCATCTGTAAGATTCAACTCAGATGTCAGCTCCTGTAGGAATTCTTACTCAATTTTCCACACCCTGTCACCAATTTGTAATGAATATCTTCGTTTCCTGTGCCCTTGGTAGCTCATTACAGCACCTATCACATTCTGCTCATCTCAGGCTTGTGTGAGTGCATCTCTCTCCCACTTGCTTGCCACTTTTTGCAGGAAGGACAGCGCCTCGTGGATATTTCTTTTTGTGTGTGTGAGACAGAGTCTCGCTTTGTCGCCCAGACTGGAGTGCAATGGTGCGATCTCAGCTCACCGCAACTTTCGTCTCCCGGGTTCAAGCGATTCTTGTGTTTCAGCCACCAGAAACACAAACAATTTTTATCCTTTTAAACATGGAGAATCTCATCAACAGGGGTTTAAAAATAACCACCAGAACCTGGGTGGTCAGTGTTAATTGAGGACCTACCAAACAGATAGAATTCTGCCACATTGCCATCTACTTTGTTTTGTCTAAATTTTGAGAAACTAGGCCAAGGAAGAAGCTCATGAGCACGGTTCGCAGAAGGCACAGGCGCAGTTAATTCACTGAGTGTATGCTTTTCAGCCCACTGTGAACAGCTCTCTGTGACCCTTAAATGTGTTGAATGATCCAAGCCTTTATTTATTTATTTATTTATTTATTTATTTATTTATTTATTTATTTTATTGAGACAGGTTAGCACATTTTGAAAGGTGGGTTGGATTATTTATATTTTAATCTCTGCCAGTCCCTGGGATATAATTTTTTTAAAGCAAACATGGCTTTCAGAGGTAATACAGCCGTGCACCACATAACAATTTGGTCAATGACGTACTGCATATGTGTCGGTGGTACCAAAAGATTATAATGGAGCTGAGAAATACCTATTGCCTGGTGATGTCGTAGCCATGGTAACGTCATAACATCACATTGCTCGTGTGTTTGTGGTGATGCTGCTGTAGAGAAACCCACTGCACTGCCAGTTGTATAAAAATATAGCACATACAATTATGTACAGTTCATAATACTTAATAATGGTAAAAAATGACTTATAGTATGGTAAGGTAAATATATACTATTAGTCATTTATTACCAGTGTTAAATGCATACTGGTTTATGTATCTATCATACATACTTTTTTGTCATTATTTTAGAGTGTACTCCTTCTACTCATTAAAAAAAAAAAAAAAAGGTAACTGTTCAACAGCCTCAGGCAGGTCCTTCGGAGGAATCCAGAAGAAGGCATTATTATCACAGGAGATGACAGCTCCATGAGTGTCATTGTCCCTGAAGACCTTCCAGTGGGACAAGATGTGGAGGTGGAAGGCAGTGATAGTGATGATCCTGACCCTGTGTAGGCCCAGGCTAGTGTGTGTGTTTGTGTCTTAGTTTGTAACAAAAAAGTGTAAAAAGTTAAAAAAAATTTAATTGATAAATAGCTTATACAATAAGGACACACAAGATATTTTTCATACAGCTGTACAATGTTTGTGTTTTAAGCTGTTATCACCAAAGAGTTAAAAACTTAAAAAAAATTAGAAATTTATAAAGTAAAAAAAAGTTACAGTAAGCTAAAGTTAATTTATTACTGAAGAAAGAAAAATATTTTGTAGAAATGTTAGTGTGACTTAGGTATAAAATGTTTGTAAATTCTACATTACAATAATGTCCTCAGCCTTCACATTCACTCATCACTCTTTTACTGACTCATCCAGAGCAACCTCCAGCCCTGCAAGCTCCATTCATGGTGAGTGCCTTATACATGTATTATCATTTTTAATCTTTTATACCACATTTTACCGTACCATGTCTGTGTTTAGATATATTTGGATATATAAATACCCACCATTGGGTTATATAATTACCTACAGTATTCAGTACAGTAATGTGCTGAAAACATTTGTAGCCTAGAAGCAATGGGCTATATACCACAGAGTCTAGATGTGTAGTAGGCTTCACTTTCTAGGTTTGTGTGAATATACTATGATGTTCACACAATCACAAAATTGCCTAATGAAGCATTTCTCAGAATGTATCCCTGTCTTTAAAAATCATATGACAATATGGCTGTCTCTCTCTGTAATTTTTTTTTTTTTTGAGACAGGGTCTCATTCCATTGCCCAGGCTGCAGTGCAGTGGCGTGATCTCAGCTCACTGCAACCTCCACCTCCCAGGTTCAAGAAATTCTCCTGCCTCAGCCTCCTGAGTAGCTTAGACTACAGGCACACACCACCACACCTGACTGATTTTTGTATTTTTAGTATTTAGACGGGGTTTCACCATGTTGGCCAGGCTGGTATCCAACTACTGACCTCAGGTGATCCACCCGCCTCGGCCTCCCAAAGTGTTGGGATTACAGGCATGAGTCACTACGCCTGGCCTGTATGTCTCTCTTTTGATAATTACTTTTTGCTTTCAAACAAGATGGCTGGATATTAGCATCTGTGGTTTTGCAAATACAGCCTGGGTGATGCTCCCTAAATCATGATTGAAGAAAACAAAAAAACCCTTAAAAACACCCTTAAAAACATTATTTAAGTACAAATGTATCGGAGTCTGGAGTGCTGTACAGTCAGGTAAAACATGAATTCTTAAAAGAACTTCCATCTAGATAATGAAAATAATTGGAAAATTTGGTACAAGAAATACGTTTCTCGCAAATGCACAGCCCTCTGAGCATGCATGGGTAAAGGAGGCATAGAAACAGGGCTGGATACTCTCACTCTCTGCCTTATTGTTGCATAGGGCTTCACAACTAATCAAGTTCCTGGGCTGGAAGTCAGGAAAATAGAACACTAATTTTCCAGCTTAGCATGGACCAGGCTTGCTTGTTTGTCCAGCAATCGACGGTCACCCACTGTTGTAGAAGTATTCACTAAGTACAAATGTGCTAGGCATGGCTGAAGCAAGGAAAGATGTACAAGAAACCTAAACATTAAATTGAGAGGTAAGATCTACATACAAGAAATTTAAATATTGCTGTGATAGAGCATATGCTTAAGAACAATAATGAAACTTAGAGATGGTAAAATGCCCTAAAAATTCAGAAAAAAAGAAGCAACCAGGATTGTCTTAGTCAATCTGGGCTGTGTTATCGAGGAACTGAGTTTGAGGTCTGTGCAGATGGTTTAGGAACACAGCTACTCACCCTGGGTATTGCTTGTGAAGTAAACTCGATGCAGGTTTTAGAAATTAGAATAATGAGAAAGAATAATGCACTTTCCGAAGTCTAAATCCTTAAAACTAAAACATGTTCACGAGACACTCAGGTTCATCCCAACACTTGCACAGTCGAGGACAAGGGTACAAATACAGGCTACATACCAGATGACTAAAACATATAAGTGACAAAGGCAACCCAATCACCTTAACTAAAATCTGTTTTCTCTTCTGGGCTGGAAGATGATGGAACAGGTAACACTGGCCCCAGACCCATAGCTCTGGCCCAGCTTCTTCTCTTCCCACCTCTGGCTTCATGCTACTCTGCCAGGCTCTTATGTGCATGTGTTTGCCACTCCCTCCCCCACTATTTGGACAAGAACACAGCCATGTTCTGTCAACACTTCCTCACATCTACAGATTCAATGCAATTCTTATTAAAACGCCAACATCATGTGTCACAGAATTAGAAAAACCAATCCGAATTTCATGTGAAAGCAAAAAAACAAACAAACAAACAACAACAACAAAAAAAAACAAGAGCCTGAATAGCCAAAACAATCCTAAGCAAAAAGAACAAAGCTGGAGGCATCATATTACCTGACTTTAAATTATACTACAAAGCTACAGTAACCAAAACAGCATGGTACTGATGTAAAAATAGACACATGGATCAATAAAACAGAATAGAGAGCCCAGAAATAAAGCCTAAAGCCACATACCTACAGACAACTGATCTTTGAAAAGTAGGCAAAAACATACACTGGAGAAAGGACACCCTATTTAATAAGTGGTCCTGAGAAAACTGGATGGCCATATGCAGTAGAATGAAACTGGACCTCTATCTCTCACCATATACAAAAATTAACTCAAGATAGATTAAAGACTTAAATGTGGCTGGGCACAGTGGCTCATGCCTGGAATCCCAGCACTTTGAGAGGCTGAGGTGGGCAGATTGCTTGAGCTCAGGAGTTTGAGACCAGCCTGAGCAATATGGTGAATTCTTCACTCTACCAAAAATACAAAAATTAGCTGGGCATGATGCCCTGCGGTCTCAACTACTCGGGAGGCTGAGGTGAGAGGATTACTTGAGCCTGGGAGGCAGAGGCTGCAGTGAGCTGAGGTCACACCACTGCACTCCAGTCTGGGTGACTTGGTGGCACAGTAAGACTCCATCTTAAAAAAACAAAACAAAGCAAAAAAACTTAAATGTAAGAGTAAAAACAATAAAAATTCTAGAATAAAACCTAGGAAAATAAAACCTAGGAAAAACATTGGCCTAGGCAAAGAATTTATCACTAAGACCTAAAAACTAAAAAACAAATTCAACAAAAACAAAAATAGACAAATGGGACTTAATGAAACTAAAGAGCTTCTGTACAGCAAAGGAAGTAACAGAGTAAACAGATAACCTATGGCATGGGAGAAAATATATGTAAATGATGTATCTGGCAAAGGACTAATATCCAGAATCTATAAGAAACTCAAATAATTCAACAACAAAAAACAAATAATCCCATTAAAAAGTGAGCAAAAGATGTGAACAGACACTTCTTAAGAGAAGACATATAAATGACCAACAAATATATGAAAAAATGCTCAACATTGCTAATCATCAGAGAAATGCAAATTAAAAGCACCATGAGATATTATCTCACACCAATCAGAATGGCCATTATTAAAAAGGCAAAAAAACAACAGATGTTGGTAAGGATGCAGAGAAAGAGGAATGCTTATCCACTATTGATAGGAATGTAAATTAGTATAAACCCTATGGAAAACAGTATGAAGATTTCTAAAAGAACTAAAATAGAGCTGCCATTTGATTCAGCAATTTCTCTACTGGTTATATATCAAAAGGAAAATAAATCATTATATCAAAAAGACAACCTGCACTTGTATGTTTATCACAGCACCATTCACAATAGCAAAGATATAGGCCAACTTAAGTGTCCATCAACCGATGATTGAATAAAGAAAATGTGGCATATACATATAACTCACTGTAACTTTTGAACTCCTGGGCTCAGTTGATCTTCCTGCCTCAGCCTCCCGAGCAGCTAGGACTACAGGTGCATGCAAACACACTCTGACAGATTTTAAAATTTTTTGGTAGAGACAAGATTTATATAAATATATATATACTCCCAGGCTCAAGTATATATATATATTCTTTTTTATGGCTGAGTAGAATTCTATGGTATATAGACATAGAATACTACCGAGATATATATATATATATATAATATACATATATATAATATACATATATATATATACCATAGAATACTACATAGAATATACATAGAATACTACTGATATATTATATATATATATATATATACCATAGAATACTACTCAGCCATAAAAAAGAATGAAATCATATCTTTTGCAACAACATGGATGGAACTGGAGGACATAATGTTAAGTAAAATAACTCAGAAACATTCAAATACTGCATCTTCTCACTTAAAGTGGAAACTAAATAATGTGTACACAGGGACTTTGAGAGGAGAATCATAGGCATTGGAGGTGGGAGGGTGGAAGGGGGCTAAGGGATGAGAAATTACCCAAGAGGTACAATGTACACTATTCAGGCGATGGTTACACAAGAATCAAAGAAGCTCGTTAAAATTCAGATTTCAGGTTCCTGCCACTCAGAGATTTTGATTCAGTAGCTCTGAGGTGGAGACAAGTAACCCTCATTTTTACTAAGCACCCAAGATAATGTTTTGTTTCTGAGATGAGCTTTTACTATGTTGCCCAGGATGGTCTCAAAGTACTGGGCTCAAATGATTCTCTAGAGTAGTCGGGACTACAGGCCCATGCCACCACATTTGGCTCACCCAGGTAATGTTAACAGGGGTGGTCCACTGAGCCCACTGATAATGAACTTGTCTCGAGTAGCACCTTTTATGAAAATCTAACTACATTTGGCTTGAGAGTCTGCTCATATTAAAGGGTCAGATGACCCCTAAATTTGAGCAGGTTTGGGAATCTAGATTTCCTTCAACTTCTTTTAACCCTCATTAATGCCGTAATTGTTTACTGGGTAGATTAATATATGCAAACTGCTTTGGGTGCCTTGAAAGGGGGGCATTGTCTCAACATGGAAATAGATAAGTGAGTATTTGTTATAGGCTCTGAGGTTCCCAGAGGAAAGAAGAGCTGTGTGAATGCAAATCAGTGTTGTGCCCTGTGTAATTGCTGTTTTTAGCAGCTCTGAAGTACTGAACCTCAATGCTCAGTTAGACTCCTGGGAATCTGATTTTTCCAACTGGGGTAAGAACATGCAGTTTCTATCAAGCTTACTCTTTCAAAAATGTTAAATATTGGCTCTGGGCACCAATATCTGGAGAACATTATTACTGTACCTCTAAATCAAACTGTCCTTTTTGGTAACAATAAAAAAAATATGAACAACAACAACAAAAGGTATAAACCCAGCAACTAGGATACCTGGTGTTTCTAGGTTCTGATCTGTTGCTAAGTAGTTTTGTGACTGGGCAGTAGAATTACTTCTTTTCACCAGTTTGTGGATCAAATGAGATAATGGCTATGGAATCCATCTGGACATTGGGAAAGCATTCTTTATGTCATTCTAAATAACAATATCTCTCAAAATGGTACTCATGAAGTTTCTCCAGAATCTGTCAAGACTAAATGTTAGAAGATCCTAGGAAAGTTTAGGATGGCTGGAAGTAAGGGTTGGGGAGTCATGATGGAAAGGAATTGTGGCAGAGGCAGTGTCTGAAGGAAGGACAGCAGAGGTTGTGATTATTGTACCTACCACTGAAGATATCATTGAGTCAGAGTTTCTGTATTGACTCAAATCACAGGGCATAAAGGAGAAAAGAACTACTGGAAGCCAGCCACCTGTCAAATCTCATCAGCTCAGATGGTGGGCCAGGGAAGGCGATCCAAAGATGAGACACATCCAAAGGGTGGAGAGAGGTGGCAACTGCTGCTATCAATACTTGCAAAGCTGTTCTGTCCATCTAACTTAACTTCCCTGTTTATCCTTTTGTCTCTCATTCCATTTGGTTGTCTTAGATTTATTTCTTGTTTATATTGCAGTCGCTACAGTGGTTGCTTCAAATGATCCCCTCTCATTGCAAGCCATTGGTATCAATTTTGCCTCTAAGCTAGTGATTTCCACTCGGAATTTCCTAAATTACAAATGTAAAGGTAAATTGGTGTGGGCACGTTCTGTGGTCTCCTTTCTGCCAGCGTCTCTCTCTGTAATAAACACTGTGGGCCAGGCGCAGTGGCTCATGTGTATAATCTTAGTGCTTTGGGAGGCCAAGGTGGGTGGATTGCTTGAGGCCAGGAGTTTGAGACCAACCTGGACAAAATAGCAATACCTTGTCTCTACAAAAAAAAAAATTTTAATTATCAGAGTGTGGTGGCATGCAGCTGTAGTCCTAGCTACTTGGGAGGCTGAGGCAGGAGGATCAATTGAGCCCAGGAGTTCAAGGTTACAGTAAGCTATGATTGTGCCACTGCACTGCACTCCAGCCTGGGCAGTGGAGTGAAACTGTGTCTCTTAAACAAACAAAGAACAACAACAACAAAACACTGGCTTTGATTTGAATCCTGCTTTCTCACCTGTCTTCTCTCATGCTCTTTTTCTCTTTCCCTATTATCATGTGGAAAGTTATTCTTCCTCTCACCTCCACCCTCCATCTCTCCTCCTTTGTACCACCAGCCTGGCACTTTCTCTTCAAAGTTCCAAAATTATATTGCCTCCTAGGGATTACACATGATAGTCCAACATTGCCTCAAACTCTGATAATGAACCCATGCATCACTCCCCTCTGTCCCCTACACAATAAAACAAAACAAAACAAAAACCTAGATTGTCTTCTAGAGAGCTTCATTTCTTTTTGCTGTCCAGGCTCCAGACTCCAGAATTCAGAACCATCATTATTATTATTGTTATTATTATTTTAGAGACAAGGTCTTTCTCTGTACCCAAGGCTGAAATGCAATGGTATAATCACAGCTCACTGTAGCCTTGACCTCCTGGGCTCAAGCAATCATCCTGCCTCAGCTTCCCAAGTAGCTGGGACTACAGGTGCATGCCACCATGCCTGGCTAATTTTTAACATCTTTTATAGAGATAGGGTCTCACTATGTTGCCCAGGCTGATCTTGAACTCCTGGCCTCAAGCAATCATCCCTCTTTGGCCTCTCAAAGTGTTGGGATTACAGGCGTGAGCCACTGTGCCCAGCCCAGAACCATCTTCGACAACTCTGTCAACCCTTATATCTAAGAGGCTGATTATTAGGATTTTTTGTTTTAAGACTTTATACAGCTTTAGGAGAATTATACATCCAGTTTGAAAAGAATAAAAACTTAAGTCTAACCATGTGACTCACCTTCCGCCAAAATTGAAGCTGCTCTGGATCTAGTTAGGCTGTGATATGATTTGGATTTGTGTCCTCACCAAATCTCATGTTGAATTTTAATCCCCAGTGTTGGAGGTGAGGCCTGGTGGGAGGTGACTGGATCATGGGGGCAGGTTTCTCATGAATGGTTTAACACCATCCCCCTGTTGGTATCATCCTCGTGATAGTGAGTTCTTGGGAGATCTGGTCATTTAACAGTGTATAACACCTCCTCTACGTCTCTTGCTCCTGCTCCTACCGTTTGAGGTGCTTGCAACTTGTCCTCCTTCCACCATGATTGTAAGTTTCCTGAGGTCTCCTCAGAAGCCAAGCAGATACCAGTGTCATGCTTCCTGTACAGCCTGCAGAACTGTGAGCTAATTAAACCTCTTTTCTTTATAAATTACCCAGTCTCAAGTATTTATTTATAGCAATGCAAGAGCAGACTAATACAGGCTCCCTATGCCTACTGTCTTCTGCTCAGCACAGAAATGTGCAGGGCTGCTCTCATGTTCTCCACAGCCTGCTGATGTTAGGCTGGTGTAGCTCTTGCACTGCAATAAAAACAAGAGGGCCATCCACCTCTCAGAGTAGCATCAGAGAGAGAAGATGTTTGTAGACAAAGCTCTCCCTACCCAGTTTGATGTCCCTGAGGACTTCCTCCAGTGAGAAATGAATGTCTACATTCATTTCTCAGGTCTTCTTTAACCAGCCTGCTGTGTGTGTGTGTGTGTCTGTGTGTGTGTGTGTGTGTGTCTGTGTGTGTGTATGATCTCCAAGGGTGAGATCCAGAGAAAAACAGCAAACTTCAGACTCCCATCATTTCCAAAACAATAAAAACACTAAGAAAGTGGAATAATAATACTAATAAATAAAAGTTTCAGAAAATGAAAGTCTTCTAAGTTATTAAAATGAACAAAATTTAAAATAAACATTTCACATAAAGAAAACCTAAAAATAAAGGCAAAAAAGGCAAAACGACCTAAGCAGAATAGATAAACAAATGATATCATGAATACAATACTAAGAGACACAATCCATGAAAGAAAGAATTGATAATTTGGATTTCATTAAAATGTAAAATGTTTTTCACTTGACAGTGAAAAACACTGTCAAGACAATGAGAAGACAAGCCACAGACTTGGAGAAAATATATCTGATCAGGAACTGTTTTACAAAATATACAAAGAACTGTTAAAACTCAAGAATAAAAATAAAACAAGCTGATTTGATAAGACCTTAACAGATACCTCTCTAAAAAGATATATAGATTGCAAATAAGCTATAAAAAGATACTTCATATCATATGTCATCAGGGAAATGAAAATGAAAACAATGAGGCACCACTACACATGTATTAGAAAAGTCAAAACCCAGAACATGGACATCACCAAATGCTGGCGAGAATATATGGAGTAACAGGAACTCTCATTCCTTGCTGGTGGAGATGCAAAGTGGTATAGCCACTTCTGAAGACAGTTTGGCAGTTTCTTAGACATCTAAACATACTCTTACCATATGATCCAGCAATCATACTTCTTGGTGTTCACCCAAAGAAAAGATGTGAAAACTTATGCCCACATAAAATCTTGCACATGGTTGTTTATAGCAGCTTTATCCATAAGTGCCAAAAAGTGGAAGCAACCAAAATGTTCTTCAGTAGGTGAACAGATAAACTGTGGTACGTGGAACAATGGAATATTATTTGATGTTAAAAAAGAAATGAGCTATAATCCATGAAAAGACATGGGTGAAATGTAAAGATACATTACTAAATGAAAGAAGCCAATTACTAAATGAAAGAGGCCATATATTATAAGATCCCAAATATATGACATTCTGGAAAAGGTAAAACTACAGAGACAGTAAAAGGATCAGTGGTTTTTCAAGGATTAGAGGGGAGAGAAGGATGACTAGGTGGAGTCCGGATGATTTTTTAGAGCATTGAAACTACTCTGTATAATACTATAGCTGTGGATTCCTATTTATATGATTTGGATGTTTTTCCCCTCCAAATCTCATGTTGAAATTTGATCCCCAGTGTTGGAGGTGGGGTCTGGTGGGAGGTGTTTGGGTCATGAGGATTCCTCATGAATGATTTGGTGCCCTCCCCATGGTAATGAGTTCTTGCTCTATTAGTTCACACAAGAGTTGGTTGTTTAAAGGAACCTGGCACCTCCTCCTCCCTCTTTTGCTCCCTTCTCTCTTGCTCTCTCTTGCCATGTGACACACCAGCTCCCACTTTGCCTTCTGCCATGAGTAAAATCTTCCTGAGGTCCTGACCAGAAGCAGAGGATGGTGCTGTGCTTCTTGTACAGCCTGAAAACAGTGAGCCAAATAGACCTCTTTTCTTTATAAATTACCAGTCTCAGATATTCCTTTACAGCAATGCAAAATGGACTAACAAACCTATCATTACACATTTTTCAAAACCAATAGAATATACACCAAGAGTGAGCCCCAATGTAAACTATAAACTTTGGGTGATGATGCATCAATGTAGATTCAGCAATTGCAACAAATGTACCATTCTGGTGGGGGAGGTTGATAATAGGGTAGATTATGCATATGTGGGGGCAGGGGGTACATGAAACTTCAACCTTCTGTTCAGTATCGCAGGGAATCTAAAGCTGCTCTAAAAATAACATCTCTTTATAAAAAGATATACAAATAACTTTAAAGCGTAGAAGAACAAAAATAAAGAATAATAACTAAAAAGGCAATTTTTTTAAAAAAAACAAGGAATCATGAGGATGAGAAAAACATAGTGAAGATGGATGAGAACAGAAAGGAAGAAAAATGTAAAACATAAATCACCAGCACAAAGACAAACTCAAAACTGTAAAAGATTTTTTAACAAAAATTCATAGTAAAATAAATAATTATAAAACTCATAAAAATACAAAAACCCTTGGAAATGAGTCTTCAAAATGCTTTTTTAAGCTAGAACTTGTTTACCACAATGGGGATTGTAATGGTTAATATTAAGTGTCAACTTGATTGGACCGAAGATTACAAAGTATGGTTCCTGGGTGTGTCTGTGAGGATGCTGCCAAAGGAGATTAACATTTGACTCAGTGGACTGGGAGAGGCAGACCCACCCTCAATCTGGGTGGGCATCATCTATTCAGCTGCCAACATGGATAGGATAAAAGCAGGCAGATGAATGTGGAAGGACTACACTGGCTGAGTCTTCTGGCCTCCATCTTTCTCCTGTGCTGGATGTTTTCTGCCCTCGAACATTGGACTCCAAGTTCTTCAGCTTTTGGACTCTTGGATCTACACCAGTTGTTTGCCAGAAGCTTTCCAGCCTTCAGCCACAGACTGAAGGCTACACTGTCGGCTTCGCTACTTTCGAGGTTCTGAGACTTAGACTGGCTTCCTTGCCTCTCAGCTTGCAGAGGGCCTATTGTGGGACTTCACTTTGTGATCGTGTGAGCCAATACTCCTTAATAAACTCCCCTTCGTACGTACATCTATCCTGTTAGTTCTGTCCCTTTAGAGAACCCTGACTAATACAGGGATTCTGGAAGTAGAATAACAGAGGAGGAGAGCCTTCGGGATGAAGTTGTATAGCACAGTGTCTATACTCATGCCTATATCACATGACTAAAGGACACAGACTCTGGAGCTAGACTAGCATGAATCTAGTCCCTGGTTTTCCAGTTAATAGCTATGCTGCCTTGGGCACATTAGTTAACTTTCTGTGCTTTACCCAAATATAAAGATGCTGGTGCCTTCTTGTACAGCCTCTAGAACAGTGAGCCAAATAAACCTCTTATCTTTATAAATTACCCAGTCTCAGGTATTCGTTCATAGCAATACAAAGTGGACTAACATACCTGGCATTATACATTTTTCAAAACCCATAGAATGTACACCAAGTGAGCCCTAATGTGAACTAAACTTTGAGTGATGACACATCAATGTAGCTTCATCAATTGTGCAATGTAAAATGATTACCCAAATATAAAATAATGCTAATAAGAGTATTTATTTCACTGGAGTTCTTATAAGAATTAAATAGATAGACTGCTTAGGATAATGTTTGGACATCCTATAAGTGCTTTATAAGTTAGTGGTTATTAGTTATGGGTCTCAAACAAAATAGTTGATCTAAGTCTCCAAAATACCCAGGGCTTGTACAAGTTCTTGTACAAAAACAAAGTCTTATTCTATTATTATTCCCTTTAGACCCTAGCACGTAAAACATGTACTCAACAGCATTCGCTAAACTGAAAATAATTGAATTTTTAAATTTTTCTTGTCTAACAATTTTTTGGAGACTCACATTATACAAATGAGAGGTAGTTCTGTTCCTTTTAAAGTGAAAAAACCAAAGCTATTTTTTACTAAATATCAGTATATCCTGAAAGGTATACTTCAAGGGAACATCATCAACAACTACACTTTTTCTCATGATTCATTCTGTTGTAAGAAAGTTTCACTGATATTACCCATTGAATTCTTGACAATAATGTTTTAGTCTGTTTTGTGCTGCTTTACTAGAGTACCAGAGACTAGATAGTTTATAGAGAACAGAAATTTATTTCTTACAGTTATAGAGGCTGAGAAATCCAAGATCAAGTTACCAGCATCTGGTGTTGGACCTTCTTCCTCACATGGCAGAAGGGGGAAGTGCAAGAGAGAGCACACTCCCAGGAGCACCTTTTATAACAGCATGAATCCACTCTGCCCTCATGACCTAGACACCTCCCTTTAGGTCCCATTTCCCAACACTGTTACCCTCATGATTAAGTTTCCAATACATGAATTTTGGAGGGAATAAAAACATTCAAACCATAGAAGATATCATAATTCATTGTGTATCCTATAAGGGAGTTCCTTATTTTTTTTCCTAGTCAAAGACAAATTTCAGTTTTAGAAATATTACTATTATTTATGCCATATCCTTAAAAGCAATTATTTAAAAAAACCAAAGCCAAAACTAAACAAAGTGCATTGGCCTAGTACCTTCTGGATGTGTATGCATTTGCACATGTATATATGTATGCACACATAAATGAGAGTACACTGTAGGAACTGATGTGTATTCTTTCCTTTGTTTTATTATAAACATTAATTAACATCAGTAAATAATCACCTGTAGATTTTTTAAAACATATTATTACCATGACTTTTGAACTTCTTTTAGTACCAAAGGAAAGATAAGCCAAATGAAAAATGTTGAAAATTCCAGGATTCTGTTCCAAGATGGCCAAATCGCTCTGGTCTACAGCTCCCAGTGTGATCAATGCAGAAGATGGGTGATTTCTGCATTTCCAACCGAGGCACCTGGTTCATCTCATTGGGACTGGTTGGACAGTGGGTGCAGCCCTCAGAGGAACAAAAACAGGGTGGGCCATCTCCTCACCTGGGAAGCTCAAGGGGTCAGGGGATTTCCCTTTCCTGGCCAAGGGAAGCCATGACAGACTGTACCTGGAAAATCAGGACACTCCTGACCAAATACTACGCTTTTCCAATGGTGTTAGCAAATGGCACACCAGGAGATTACATCCCATGCCTGGCTTGGCAGGACCCACACCCACAGAGTCTTGCTCACTGCTAGGGCAGCAGTCTGAGATCGACCTCTGAGGCAGCAGCCTGGGAGGGGGAAGGGCGTCTGCCATTGCTGAGGTTTGAGTAGGTACACAAAGCCAGCTGGGGAAGCTCAAACTTGGTGGGGCCCACCGCAGCTCAGCAAGGCCTGTTCCCTCTGTAGATTCCACCTCTGGGGGCAGGGCATAGCTGAACAAAAGGCAGCAGAAACTTCTGCAGACTTAAACGTCCCTGTCTGACAGCTCTGAAGAGAGCAGTGGTTCTCCCAGCATGGTGTTTGAGCTCTGAGAATGGACAGACTGCCTCCTGAAGTGGGTCCCTGAACCCTGTGTAGCCTAACTGGGGAGAGACCTTCCAGTAGGGGCTGACTGACACCTCATATAGGCAGGTGCCCGTCTGGGACAAAGCTTCCAGAGGAAGGATCAGGCAGCAATATGTGCTGTTCTGCAGCCTCCGCTGGTGATACCCAGGCAAACAGGGTCTGGAGTGTACCTCCAGCAAACTCCAACAGACCTGCACCTGAGGGACCTGACTGTTAGAAGGAAAACTAACAAACAGAAAGGAATAGCATCAACATCAACAAAAAGGACATCCACACCAAAACCCCATCTGTAGGTCACCAACATCAAAGACCAAAGGTAGATAAAACCACAAAGATGGGTAGAAACCAGAGCAGAAAAGCTGAAAAATTTAAAAACCAGAGCACCTCTTCTTCTCCAAAGGATCACAGCTCCTCGCCAGCAATGGAACAAAGCTGGATGGAGAATGACTTTGATGAACTGACAGAACTAGGCTTCAGAAGGTCAGTAATAACAAACTTCTCCGAGCTAAAGGAGGATGTATGAACCCATCACAAGGAAGCTAAAAATCTTGAAAAAAGATGAGATGAATGGCTAACTAGAATAAACGTGTAGAGAAGACCTTAAATGACCTGATGGAGCTGAAAACCATGGCACAAGAACTATCTGTTTCATGCACAAGCTTCAATAGCTGATTTGATCGAGTGGAAGAAAGAGTATCAGTGATTGAAGATCAAATTAATGAAATAAAGCAAGAAGAGAAGTTTAGAGAAAAAAGAGTAAAAAGAAATGAACAAAGCCTCCAAGAAATATGGGACTATGTGAAAAGACCAAATCTACATTTGATTGGTATACCTGAAAGTGACAGGGAGAATGGAACCAAGTTGGAAAACACTCTTCAAGATGTTATCCAGGAGAACTTCCCCAACCTAGCAAGGCAGGCCAACATTCAAATTCAGGAAATACAGAGAACACCACAAAGATACTCCTCGAGAAGGGCAACTGCAAGACACATAATTGTCAGATTCACCAAGGTTGAAATAAAGGAAAAAATGTTAAGGGCAGCCAGAGAGAAAGGTCGGGTTACCCATAAAGGGAAGCCCATCAGACTAACAGCGGATCTCTCTCCAGAAACTCTACAAGCTAGAAAAGAGTGGGGGCAAATACTCAACATTCTTAAAGAAAAGAATTTTCAACCCAGAATTTCATATCCAGACAAACTAAGCTTCATAAGTGAAGGAGAAATAAAATCCTTTACAGACAAGCAAACGCTGAGAGATTTTGTTACCACCAGGCCTGCCTCAACAAGAGCTCCTGAAGGAAGCACTAAACATGGAAAGAAACAACCAGTAGCAGCCACTGCAAAAACATGCCAAATTGTAAAGACCATGGTTGCTAGGAAGAAACTGCATCAACTAACGAGCAAAATAACCAGCTAACATCATAATAACAGGATGAAATTCGCACATAACAATATTAACCTAAAATGTAAATGGGCTAAATGCCTGCAATTAAAAGACACACACTGGCAAATTGGATAAAGAGTCAAGATCCATCAGTGTGCTGTATTCAGGAGACCAATCTCACCTGCAGAGACACACATACGCTCAAAATAAAGGGATGGAGGAAGATCTACAAAGCAAATGGAAAGCAAAAAAAAAAAGCAGGGGTTGCGATCCTAGTCTCTGATAAAACAGACTTTAAGCCAACAAAGATCAAAAGAGACAAAGGCAGCCATTATATCATGGTAAAGGGATCAATTAAACAAGAAGAGCTAACTATCCCAAATATATATGCACCCAATACAGAGCACCCAGATTCATAAAGCAAGTCCTTAGAGACCTACAAAGAGACTTAGACTCCTACACAATAATAATGGGAGACTTTAACACCCCACTTGCAATATTAGAGAGATCAACGAGATAGAAGGTTAACAAGGATATCCAGGTCTTGAACTCAGCTCTGCACCAAGCGGACCTAATAGACATCTACAGAACTCTCTACCCCAAATCAACAGAATATATGTTCTTCTCAGCACCACATTGCACTTATTCCAAAATTGACCACATAGATGGAGGTAAAGCACTCCTCAGCAAATGTAAAAGAACAGAAATCACAACAAACTGTCTCTCAGACCACAGTGCACTCAAATTAGAATTCAGGATTAAGAATCTCACTCAAAACCACACAACTACATAGAAACTGAACAACCTGCTCCTGAATGACTACTGGGTAAATAACAAAATGAAGGCAGAAATAAAGGTGTTCTTTGAAACCAATGAGAACAGAGACACAACGTACCAGAATCTCTGGGACACATTTAAAACAGTGTGTAGAGGGAAATTATAGCACTAAATGCCCACAGGAGAAAGCTGGAAAGATCTAAAATCAACACCCTAACATCCCAATTAAAAGAACTAGAGAAGCAAGAGCAAATAAATTCAAAAGCTAGCAGAAGGCAAGAAATAACTAATATCAGAGCAGAACTGAAGGATATAGAGACAGAAAAAAATCAATGAATCCAGCAGCTGGTTTTTTGAAAAGATCAACAGAATTGATAGACTGCTAGCAAGACTAATAAAGAAGAAAAGACAGAAGAATCAAATAGACACAATACAAAATGATAAAGGGGATATCACCACTGATCCCACAGAAATACAAACTACCATCAAAGAATACTATAAACACCTCTACACAAATGAAAATCTAGAAGAAATGGATAAATTCCTGGACACATATACCCTCCCAAGACTAAAGCAGGAAAAAATTGAATCTCTGAATAGAACAATAACAGGCTCTGAAATTGAGGCAATAATTAATAGCCTACCAACAAAAAAAGTCCAGGACCAGATGGATTCACAGCCGAATTCTACCAGAGATACAAAGAGGAGCTGGTGCCATTCCTTCTAAAACTATTCCAATCGATAGAAAAAAAAAGGGAATCCTCCCTAACTCATTTTATGAGGCCAGCATCATCCTGATACCAAAGCCTGGCAGAGACACAACAAAAAAAGAGAATTTTAGACCAATATTCCTGATGAACATCGATGTGAAAATCCTCAATAAAATACTGGCAAACTGAATCCAGCAGCACATCAAAAAGCTTATCCACCACGATCAAGTCAGCTTCATCCCTGGGATGCAAGGCTTGTTCAACAAACACAAATCAATAAACGTAATCCATCACTTAAACAGAACTATCGGGAAAAACCACGTGATTATCTCAATAGATGCAGAAAAGGCCTTTGACAAAATTCAACAGCCCTTCATGCTAAAAACTCTCAATAAACTAGGTATTGATGGAATGTATCTCAAAATAATAAGAGCTATTTATGACAAACCCACAGCCAATACATACTGAATGGACAAAAACTGGAAGCATTCTTTTTGAAAACTGGCACAATACAGGGATGCCCTCTCTCACCACTCCTATTCAACGTGGTGTTGGAAGTTCTGGCCAGGGCAATCAGGCAAGAGAAAGAAATAAAGGGTATTCAATTAGGAAAAGAGGAAGTCAAATTGTCCTATTTGCAGATGACATGATTATATATTTAGAAAACCCCATCATCTCAGCCCAAAATCTCCTCAAGCTAATAAGCAAATTCAGCAAAGTCTCAAGATACAAAGTCAATGTGCAAAAATCACAAGCATTCCTATATACTAATAACAGACTAAGCGCCAAATCATGAGTGAACTCCCATTCACAATTGCTTCAAAGAGAATAAAATACCCAGGAATCCAACTTACAAGGGATGTGAAGGACCTCTTCAAGGAGAACTACAAACCACTGCTCACAAAATAAAAGAGGATACAAACAAATGGAAGAGCATTCCATGCTCATGGATAGGAAGAATCAATATTGTGAAAATGGCCATACTGCCTAAGGTAATTTGTAGATTTAATGCCATCCCCATCAAGCTACCAATGACTTTCTTCATAGAATTGGAAAAAAACTACTTTAAAGTTCATGTGGAACCAAAAACGAGCCCGCATTGCCAAGTTAATCCTAGGCCAAAAGAACAAAGCTGGAGGCATCACGCTACCTGACTTCAAACTATACTACAAGGCTACAGTAACCAAAACAGCTTGGTACTGGTACCAAAACAGAGATATAGATAAATGGAACAGAACAGAGGCCTCAGAAATAACACCACACATCTACAACCATCTGATCTTTGACAAACCTGACAAAAACAAGAAATGGGGAAAGGATTCCCCTATTTAATAAATGGTGCCAGGAAAACTGGCTAGCCATATGTAGAAAGCTGAAACTGCATCCCTTCCTTACACCTTATACAAAAATTAATTCAAGATGGATTAAAGACTTAAATGTAAGACCTAAAACCATAAAAACCCTAGAAGAAAACCTAGGCAATACCATTCAGGACATAGGCATGGGCAAGGACTTCATGACTAAAATACCAAAAGCAATGGCAACAGAAGCCAAAATAGGCAAATGGGATCTAATTAAACCAAAGAGCTTCTGCACAGCAAAAGAAACTAACACCAGAGTGAACAGGCAACCTACAGAATGAAAGAAAATGTTTGCAATCTACCCATCTGACAAAGGGCTAATATCCAGAATCTACAAAGAACTTAAGCAAATTTACAAGAAAAAAACAAACAATACCATCAAAAAGTGGGCAAAGGATATGAACAGACACTTCTCAAAAGAAGACATTTATGCAGCCAACAGACACATGAAAAAATGCTCATCATCACTGGCCATCAGAGAAATGCAAATCAAAACCACAATGAGACACCATCTCACATCAGTTAGAATGGCGATTATTAAAAAGTCAGGAAACAACAAATGCTGAAAAGGATGTGGAGAAATAGGAACACTATTATACTATTGGTGGGAGTGTAAACTAGTTCAACCATTATGGAAGACAGTGTGGCGATTCCTCAAGGATCTAGATCTAGAAATACCATTTGACTCAGCGATCCCATTACTGAGTATATACTCAAAGGATTATAAATCATGATACCATAAAGACACATGCATACATATGTTTATTGTGGCAATAAACACAATAGCAAAGACTTGGAACCAACCCAAATGTCCATTAGTGATAGACTGAATAAAGAAAATGTGGCACATATATACCATGGAATACTATGCAGCCATAAAAATGGATGAGTTGATGTCCTTTTCAGGGATATGGATGAAGCTGGAAACCATCATTCTCAGCAAACTATCACAAGGACAGAAAACCAAACATCGCATGTTCTCACTCATAGGTGGGAATTTGAACAATGAGAACACTTGGACACAGGGCGGGGAACATCACACACTGGGGCCTGTCATGGGGTTGGGGGCAGGGGGAGGGATAGCACTGGGAGAAATACCTAATGTAAACGATGGGTTGATGAGTGCAGCGGGCCAGCATGGCACATGTATACCTATGTAACGAGCCTGCACGTTGTGCACATGTACCCTAGAACTTAAAGCATAATTATTAAAAAATGAAAATTCCATAACACCTTTCAGGGTACAGCCTGCAAATGTCAGGCTTTCACTTCTACTTGGCTAAAATAGATTATTACAAGTGATTGACATTTTGTTAAAGAATGACGATAGTCTTGTCAGACCCAAATGAAATGATCGTTCAGCTCTTTTGACAATAGCTTGTGCCTTCTAGGCATATACACTCATAAATGTGCCTTCACAGACATCAATAGTTCGTAAATCATTCAGGCTTACATTTTAAAGAACAGATGCCAACAAATTTAAGGCCTTGAGTTACTTTATTTTGTCTTCTTCTACAGCTGAAGGCTGCTCCAAAGTTAAGACTGTCATCTGTTAAGTCACAGCAGAGATGAAATGGAAGAGAGTGATTGGGCTAAAGCAATTGGAAAAAGGAACAGTATACTTTTATTCTGGGTGCTTAGAGAAGGATAATTTAAGTACCTGCTATATAAAAAAAAACACCTCAGTGTGGTATTGGACAAATGTGTTTTTTGGTTAATTAAATATGAAGTTGTTTAATAGCTAGAGTTTGTCATATTTATTAGGAACATATTCTAGGGGTGAAGTTTTAGGGCAGAGTTTTTTTTTAAAGGAAAACTTTATATTTTAAAATAGTATTAGGACCAAATTATTACTAAACGTCACTTTTACTTTACATTAACTTCTGTCTCTATGATTCTTTACTTACTATTTATAGCATAATTCAAAGAATTAATCTGTTAATGCCTATAAAGTACTTTTTCTATCCCAAAATACCATGATAGGCAAAATAATCTAACTTAGGTTTTTTCTTTTAATTGTAAATTCACTAAAAAGAAATCTACTGCAACAACTTTGTGAAATAAGTGCAGAAACCAAAAACAAAAAGATTTTTCAGAATGTTCTCACATCATCTGTACTAGATAATAAATCAGATTCTTGGTAAAACTGTATAATTATAGACAAACTGAGAACTGAAATTGTTTGGTTCAACTGTAAAAGGAGTTAAACAGTCTGAGTTTATGAAAGCTCTTTAAGGGTATAATGAGAGGACTTGCTTCTATCACTTACATCACGCAAGGCTTTTACCTTGCATTTTACAAGTATCATAATCATCTTCTCACAGGCAGCATAATTCAACTGCATTTTGAAATTCTTAAAGATAAAGTAGCTTTGGAGAAAAATAAGTGAGGACAGCTGTAACTTATGCCAATGATGTCAAACTGGAAATGACAGTGTTTGTTATATAATCTGTTCATGCAATTGTTCTTTCTCTCTCATAGAAAATAATGTTGGTAAAGAAAATGTAGAATATAAGTAAAAACTAAAATTATAATCTCATCATTCAGAAGAATGTAAAAATGTAATCTCATTATTCAGAAAAATGTCATGTATTTGGTGCATTTCTTGAAAAATATAGATAGATAGATAGATCAGCAAAATTGAGACCATGCTGTATTTTCAGTTTTGCGTCTAATTTTTTGTATTTACATTATATTAGAAAATTTTCTCACCATTGGATTTGTTCTTTAACAGCTTATTTTTTTAATTGCTGAGTGACATAACATCATAGGTATAGACTATAATTTATTTAAAACATCTATTTTTGAACATGTAGGTTATTTCCATTTTTGATTTTACAAATGTTGATAAAATTGATGTTTGTGCATTAAAATCAATGAAATCTAAATCTTGTCAGTGATAACTGTTAATTATCTCTCAAATCCATCCATTTTTCTCCATTTTCACTGTGATTTCCATATTTACCTCATTTGTAGTATATGACTCTATAAATAGTTTCTTTGCCCTCAGACTTTCTCTCCTTGAGTTCATTTTCCACAATTCAGTCAAAGTAATCTTTATCTTTAATATTTCTTTACCTTACAAGGTTTGAGAACACACCATGTGTAGCAAGGATATGGGAAAACTGGCACTCTCATTTATTGTCAGTGGGAGTCTAAATTGGTACATTGTCTGTGGGAGGGAAATTTGTCATATCTATAGAAATTTTAAATTATGAATTAAAAATACAATAGCATTTGCTATAGTATAACTGAGAGCAATCCCACTATTAGAAATTTATCCTGCAAATACACACACATACATATACAGGTATAGAATAAAATTAATTTGTATAAAGTTTTTTCTGGTAACTTTTTTTTTTGTAATACCAAAGATTGGAACCAACCAAAATGCTCATCAAGAAACAAAGTAAATCTTGATGCATCCATCCAATGGATTACTATGCCACTAATAAAAAGGATAAGGAAGTGCTGTATAACCAAGTACAAATTCATATGGAATGAACTCCACGGTATATTTTTCAATGAAAAAAAGAAAATGCAAAATAATGTTCATAATATGCTACAAATTTTGTAAATTATAAAATAAGAAAGAACAAAGACCTTTATTGAATATGCACAGAATAACACAGGAAAGATACATAAGAAACTGGTAAAATTGGTTGCCTTCAGGGAAGTAAATGGCTTCCCAGGGGATAGGGTTGGAAGATAGAATTTTTGCCACATAACTTATTATTATCTTTTGAGTTTTGTGCCATGTGAAAATATTATTAATCAATAAAATTAAGTGTTTAGAATTTTAAATGAAGAATATTTAAACATGGTGAGAGAGAACATTATAAACAACATTCATGTATTGAATGAATAACACTTATTGTTGACAGATCTGAACATTTTGCTATGGACATGGTTGAATTGCCCACCTTCCTTCCTTGATCTCTCTTCCTAGCTTACCAGAGGCAGCCATGTTCTTGAACTAATGTTTATCATTCCTTAGATATATTTTAATTATATATGTATATAGTTATGTATATATACATAAACAATATTATAATAGTTCTTTACAATTTATCCAAATGTTAGGTTCGTTCTGCAATTTGCTTTCCCCCTCAACTTTATATCTTTAAGATTTATTTTTGTTTTGATAATATAGCCCTTGTTCACTCATTTTAACTGCTAGAGACTATACTAAGCCACAATTTATGTATTCATTCTCCTGTCATTTTCAAGTTTTTGCTATCAAGCAAAAGTGCAATAAACATTCATTTACTTATTTGTCCCATTCCATTATTGAGCAACTACTATATGCTGGGCTCTGTTTCAAGAGCCACAGATACAGCAGAGAAGAAAACAGATAAAGAGCTTGGCCCAAAGTAGAGCTTACATTTAGAAGAGACAATAAACTTTATTTTAAGATATTGCGTGTTAAAAAATGTTAAATCTGTAGAAAACATAGAGAATAGTAAGGATTATTGGAAATGATAGACGTAAGAGCACAATTTTAAATAGTTGGTCAGGGAGGGTACACGACTGACCTATTTCCCTGATAATGCTACATAGAAAATAATCCGCAAATCTCAATTGTTTACAATAATCTTTGGTCAGTGGGTCAACTGGACTTGGACTATGCTGTGGGTCGAGTTCAGGTCTGTCTCATATATGTCCTCATTCCTCTTGAACAAGGATGTGTTTTTCTCATGGTCAGTGCCAAATCACCTAAACATATTCAAGACCTCTGTGTCTTTTTTGCTAGCATTCTAATTTATAAGCAAGTCCCATGAAATAAGCCCAGGTAGGAAGGAAGCATACCACCCCCTACTTTAATGAGATTTGATCACCCAGATGTCAATGTTTAATTCTGTAGCAGAGAGGTAGTGAAGAGTTGCAAACTATATTCCAATCTGCTTCAAAGAACCTCACCGTGCAGGTAAAAACTGAGCAAGCACTTGAATAAGGCTGTGAGGTCAGTCTTGAAAATGTCTAGGAGAAGAACATCCAGGGAAAGTAATTAAGACAGTGCAAAGTCCCTGAACCTGGAACATGGCTGCAACATTCAAAGAACAATAAAGAGTCCAGAGTGATTGAAGTGGTATAAGTAATAGGAAGAAAGTAAGACATTAGCATAGAGGCATAATGAGGGGCCAGACCTTGGAGGACCTTGTCTGATATTGTAGAATTTTACTTTGAGATGGGAATCATTACAGGATTTTGAGTAAAGGAGTGAGATAATCTGGCTTCTGTTTTGAAAGGACTAAGGAGAATGGATTGTAGCGGGGCAAGGAAAGAAAGAGAGCATCTTGTTCAGAGGCTGTTGTAACTAATGCAGAGAAGTCTTCATGACTTGGACTAGGGTTATAGCATAGAAGTGGTGAGAAGTAATCAGGTTCTGGAGATGTAATGTGGAAAAATTTAAACATATACACAAGTATGCATAATAGTACCCATAGATACACCTTTCATCCATCTCAACAATTTACCTGGTGAGTGACTCACTAAACCTGGACGTAT